>NW_021160023.1:0-300000 GCF_000001405.40 Homo sapiens
TGAGGTCCTGCTACTAGTTATTCTGTCTCTGTAGTAGTTGGATGGCTGGATCATATGGTCATTTTATTTTATTTTTTTTGAGGAGCCAGTTCATATTTCCACCAACAGTGTTCAAAGGTTTCAGTTTCACCTGCGCTTGTTACTTTCTGTTGGGTTTGAAGTGATGTCGCATTGTGGTTTCTTTTTGCATTTCTCTAATGACTAGTGATGTTACACATCTTCTCATATATCTCATGTATCTGTTGGCTATTTGTATATCATCTTTGCATCTTTGGATAAATGTTGTTTGTCCATTTTTTTAATCACTTTATTTTGTTGTTGGGTTGTAGTGGGGTTTTTTTGTCATGATCATTCATTTATCTCACAGTTCATTCTCCTTACTTGGGCCAGGGTCATGATCATTCATTATCTCTCAGTTCATCCTCATTACGTTGGGCAAACAGTCATGCTGCAGGGTATAGATTATGTTATTCTGTTACTTTCAGGTAGAATTGGGGTCTAGGTTCTAATTGTTTCTAAGTTTAGATTCTGAATGAGAATCAGCAGAGGTAGACCACCACTGCTGGGGCCTGGGATTGCCGGGGAAAAGGCAGGAAACAAATACAGACCTGACCATGGAGGGTTTGTGTTTCATGGCTCCCATCTGGGTACCCAAGGAACCTACATGTAGCTCGTGTGTGGAGAGCCTACATTGCCCACTCAAAGCAATTGAGGATCGAACAATCTTGGGGCTGGAGCTCATTTTTTGGAATGATAACCACATCTGCACAGAGAGGACCTGATAAGATGTTGTCCTTCCATGTATATCTGGGAATCCTGTGTAGGGTCTCTCTGTAAGGACAGGGACAGTGTTGGCTCCTTGGCCTCTAGTTAGCCTCACGAGTAGTCTAGTAAAGGCTTTGCCAACTTGTCACCATCTGTGGATATTCTGGCCAGCTCTTGTTTTCACCCTACTGACTTCTTCAGACACTAGGCTTTTGCTTTAGACCACTCATGGTTTTTCTTCCTCTTCAAATCAGTAATCAATAAATCCTCTTCAAATCAATAGATTTCCACTCCTTTAGGAAACTCTGATCTTCTGGTCATGCCAAGGTTTAATTAACTGGTTTAATTGTTTTTCTGTTTTCTTGGTTTCTTTTTCCTTCTTCCCGGGGGTTTCTAGTAATTTTAGATTCATGTCTCACTTTCTCCATTTTTTAGTTCTTAGTTTTCTTCTGTGATTATTTTCACTGCAGCTGCAGGGCCTAATCCTGGGTTGGCAGAGAACTAGCACTTACTCTGCCCTAATTGGAATCCGGGAGAGATAGGAGGTGCCCTAGTGTGAAAATGTGTCTGCTCCTCTCTGCTTCTGGTAGTCTCTCTGTAGGAGTACTTTACGTATTCTGAATATTCACTTCTTATGAGATACATGATGTGCAACTATAGGTTGAATGTCTCTGATCCAAAAATCTGAAATCCCAAATGCTCCAAATTCTGAAACTTTTTGAGTGCCAACATGACACTCAAAGGAAATGCTTATTGGAGCATCTCAGACTCAGGTGTTTGAATTCGAGATGCTTAACCAGTAAGAATAATGCAAATATTACAAAATCTGAAACACATCCCAAGCATTTCAAATAAGGGACACTCAACTGGTATTTTCTTTTATTCTACAGTTTGCCTTTTACCCTGTTGTTTGTTACCTTTGTGGTACAAAAGTTTTAAGTTTGATATATTTTTGCTTTTACTGCCTGAGCTTTTAATGTCGTATCCTAAAAATTATTGACAAATTCATCGTCATAAAGCATTTTCCAAATTTGTTTTCCCTAGGAGTTTGATAGTTCTAGTTTTACATTTAGGTTTATAATTCACTTTGAATTAATTTTAACGTGGTGTAAGGTAAGAGTCCAACTTCATTGTTTTGCATGTAGATATACAATTTTCCCAACACCATTTGTTGAAGAAACTGTCCTTTGCCATTGAGTGGTCTTGGCATCCTTCTGGAAGATCATCAAACCATATATGCCAGGGTTGGCTTCTGAGGTCTCTGTTGTGTTGGTCCATAACTGTGTCAAGTATGTCTTTATGCCATGACCACATTTTTTTTTGGCTTATTGCAGTTTGTTAATTGTATTGAGACCTTTAATTTTGTTCTGTTTCAAGATTGATTTGCCTATTCATGGGCCCTGGAGATTCCATATGAATTTTAATATAGGTTTTTCTGTTTATCAAAAATGTCATTGGAATCTTTATAAGGATTGTATTGAATCTAGGTCACTTCGAGTAGTGTTGACATCATTCCAAGATGAAATCATCTAATCTGCAAACCCAGCTTTTCTTTTTCGTTTATTTGTGTTTAATTTCTTTCAACAGTGTTTTGTAGTTTTCTGTGTTCAAATCTTTTGCCCTTTTTGTTAAGCTTATTTTTAATTTTTATAATGCTGTTTTAAATGTAATTCTTTTTTTTTTTTTTGAGATGGAGTCTTGCTCTGTCTCCCAGGCTGGAGTGCAGTGGCACTATCTCAGCTCACTGCAACCTGCGCCTTCTTTATTCAAGCAATTCTCCAACCTCAGCCTCTCAATTACCTGGGATCACAGGTGTGCGCCAGCACGCCCAGCTAATTTTTTGGTATTTTTCGTAGAGACAGGGTATCTCCATGTTGACCAGGCAAGTCTTGAACTTGTGACCTCAGGTGATCTGCCCGCCTCGGCCTCCCAAACTGCTGGGATTGCAGGCATGAACCACTGCACCCAGCCAAATGTCATTCTTTTCAAAAATTTCTTTTCTTTTGTTTTATCTTTCTTTTCTTTTCTTTCTCTCTCTTTCTTTCCTTTCTTTCTTTTCTTTGAGATGGTGTCTCACTCAGTTTCCTAAGCTGGAGCGCAGTGGCACAATCTCAGCTGACTGCAACCTCCACCTTCCAAGTTCAAGCAATTCTCCTGCCTCAGCCTCCCAAGTAGCTGGGACTACAGGTGTCTGCCACTATGCCCAGCTAATTTTTGTATTTTTAATAGAGACAGAGTTTTACTATTTATATTAGAGATGGGGTTGGCCCAGCTGGTCACGAACTCCTGACCTCAGGTGGTCTACCCGACTTGGCCTCCCAAAGTGCTGGGATTATAAGTGTGAGCCACTGCACCTGGCCTCTCTTTTTAAAATTTTATTTGCAGATTGTTCATTGTTAGTTTATGGAAATGCAACTGACTTGTGTGTTTTACTGTATCCTGAAACTTTGTTGAATTTCATTATTTTACCAGTATTTTGTGGAATTTCAGGATTTTTCCCATTACATCCTGTTGTCTGTGAACAAAACTTTGTACTTTTTCCTTTCCAATTTGCATGCTTTTTATTACTTTCTCTTGCCTAATTATTCTGAGTAGAAATTCCAGTGCTTTGGTGAATAGAAGTGGCAGGAAGGGATGTTGCTATCTTATTCCTGATCCTAGAGGAAAAGATTTTAGTTTTTCACCATTGAGTATGATGTTAGCTGTGAGCTTTTCATGTACAATCTTTATTTACTGAGGAGTTTCCATATATTACTAATTCTTTGAGTCTTTTTATTACAAAAGGTGTTCATCTGGCTCTGGAACCAGATAAATGTTGACCTGATAGAATGGATTGGAATGTCCCCTTCTGGTTTTTGAACATTTTTGGAATATTTTGCAGAGGATTGGCATTAATTCTTCTTGAAATGTTTGGTAAAATTCTCCAGTGAAGTTATCTGGACCTGGAATTTTCTTTTTTGGGGGTTTTTGATTACTGGTTGAATCTTCTTACTAGTTACAGGTCTCTTTGGATTTTTTATTTCTCCGTGATTCAGTATGGTGGTTTGTGTTTCTAGGAATTTATAAATTTATTCTAGGTTGCCCAGTTTTGTGGCATACGGTTGCTCACATTAGTCTCTTGTAATTTTTTTCATTTCTGTGGCATCTGTTGTACTGTCACCTCTTTTATTTACGATTTTAGTATTTGAGATTTCTCTTTTTTTCTTAATATAGCTGTGAGTTTTAAAATTGTTATTGATCTTTAAAAAAAACTCAGTGTGTTTTTTTTTTCCTTTTTTTTCTGGTATTATTCTGCTTATCTCTGCTCTAATCTGTTATTTTCTTCCTTTTGCTTGGTTTGTCATTAGTTTTTTTTTTCCCCCCTTCAGGTGTAATGTTAGGTTATTGATTTGAGATATTTCTTCTTTTTAATTTAAGCACCTGCAGCTATAAGCTTCCCTTTAGCATGGGTTTGAGATCTTTCTTCTTTTTAATTTAAGAATCTGCAGCTGTAAGCTTCCCTTTAGCATGGGTTTGAGATCTTTCTTCTTTTTAATTTAAGCATCTGCAGCTGTAAGCTTCCCTTTAGCACTGCCTTCGTTGCCTCCTCCTGAGTTTGGGTATGTCATGGTTTTCTTTTCGTTTGCTTAAACATTTTTTGTCCTATTGTAATATAATTGCATTGTTTTTAATAAAGGTAATTAATGAAACACATAATGAATTTTGCTTCTGTTTTTATAATATTTTAAGCATTCTTAACTCAGAAATGTAAATTTTAGAAAAAAATTCCAGGCCAGGCACAGTGGCTCACACCTTTAATCCCAGCACTTGGGGAGGCCGAGGCGGGTGGATCATCTGAGGTCAGGAGTTGGAGACCAGCCTGGCCAACATGGTGAAACCCTGTCTTTACTAAAAATAGAAAATATATATATAAAAGTTAGCTGGGTGTCGTGGCGGGTGCCTGTAATCCCAGCTACTCTGGAGGCTGAGGCAGGATAATCACTTGAATCTGGGAGGCGGAGGTTGCAGTGAGCTGAGATTGCACCACTGCACTCCAGCCTGGGTGACAGAACGAGAGTCCATCTCAAAAAAAAAAGAAAAAAGAAAAAATTTCAGACATATTTATATGTATTTCAATTTAGAAACTATGATCTCCTAAGTGTATTGACACAACAACCTGACATAAAGATAAAGAATAATAAGCATATAACAAAACGGAAACTTGCAAATACCTGTTTTTTATTAATTTTTAGTTATATATATTTAAAAATTGCCAGGTGCAGTGGCTTACACCTGTAATCCCAGCACTTTGGGAGGCTGAGGTGGGCAGATCACATGAGGTCAGGAGTTTGAGACCAGCCTGGCCAACATGGTGAAACCTCATCTCTATTAAAAATCAAAAAATTAGCCAGGCATGATAGCATGCATCTGTAGTCCCAGCTACTCGGGAGACTGAGGCAGGAGAATTGCTTGAACATGGGAGGCAGAGGTTGCAGTGAGCCAAGATAGTGCCACTGCACTCCAGCCTGGGTGACAGAGTGAGACTCTGACTCAAAAAAATAAAAATTGCCTGGGTGCGGTGGCTCACACCTGTAATCGGAGTACTTTGGGAAGCTGAGGCAGGCAGATCACGTCAGGAGATCAAGACCATCTGGGCTAACACGGAGAAAAGCCGTCTCTACTAAAAATACAAAAAATTAGCCGGGCGTGGTGGCGGGTGCCTGTAGTTCCAGCTACTCCGGAGGTTGAGGCAGGAGAATGGTGTGAACCTGGAGGGTGGAGCTTGCAGTGAGCCGAGATTGCACCACTGGACTCCAGCCTGGGTGACAGAGCGAGACTCTGTCTCAAAATAAAATAAAATAAAATAAAACTAAGTTGTGGTTGACATACAAAAATTACAAATATTTAATATATACCTTGTGTGTATGTGTTTGTGTGTGTGTGTGTGTGATGGATGTTTTACTCTTGTGGCCCAGGCTGGAGTGCAGTGACACGATCTCAGCTAACTGCAACCTCTGCCTCCCAGGTTCAAGCAATTCTCCTGCCTCAGCCTCCTGAGTAGCTGGTATCGCAGGTGTGCGCCCCCACGCCCAGCTAATATTTGTATTTTTTTAGTAGAGACAGGGTTTCACCATGTTGGCCAGGCTGGTCTCGAACTCCTGACCTCAGATGATCCACCTGCCTTGGCCTCACAAAGTGCTGGGATTACAGGCATGTGACACCGAATATATACATCTTAATGAGTTTAGTGATAAGTATTCTCCCCAGGACTCATCACAACAAATAATGCCGTAAACTTGACCATCACTCCCCATATATTTCTCATTCTCACGCTTTTTAAAAAATGAGACCGGGAGCGGTGGCTCACGCCTGTAATCCCAGCACTTTGGGAGGCCGAGGCAGGTGGATCACGAGGTCAGGAGATCAAGACCATCCTGGCTAACACAGTGAAACCCCGTTTCTACTAAAAATACAGAAAATTAGCTGCGCGTGATGGCAGGCGCCTGTAGTCCCAGCTACTTGGGAGACTGAGGTAGGATAATGGTGTGAACTCGGGAGGCAGAGCTTGCAGTGAGCCAAGGTAGTGCCACTGCACTCCAGCCTGGGCAACAGAGCGAGACTCCATGTCAAAAAAAAAAAATGAGATGACCATTTCACCTAAAATATACCCTCTTAAGTTTTTTTTTAAGTGTACAATACAGGACGGCCATGCATCAGAGATATATGTGGGTTTGGTTCCAGACCACTGCAATAAAGTGAGTTATACAATTTCTTTTGGTTTCCCAGTGCATGTAAAAGTATGTTTATACTGTGCTGTATAAAGTGTGCAACAGCATATGTCTACAAAGTGTGCATACTTTAATTTACAAATACGTTATTGTTAACAAGTGCTAACAGTCATCTGAGCCTTCAGAAAACTGCAATCTTTTTTTTTGTGTGTGACAGGGTTTTACTCTGTGGCTCAGGCTGGAGTAATTGCAGCCTCAACCTCATGCTCGATCAAACCTCCACCTCAGACTCCTGACTAGCTGGGACTACAGGTGCATGCCACCATGTCCAGCTAATTCTTGTATTTTTTTTTTGTAGAGATGAGGTTTTGCCATGTTGCCTTGACGTCCTGGGCTCAAGCAATCCACACAACTTGGCCTCCCAAGTTGTTGGGATGACAGGTGTGAGCCACTGCACCTGGCCAAGTTTCAGTCTTCTTGCTGATGGAGGGACTTGCCTTAATGTAAGGTGGTGGTTGCTGAGCGTTGGGGTGGCTGTGGCAATTTCTTAAAATAAGACAACATTGAAGTTTGCTGTGTCAATTGACTCTCTGTTTCACAAAAGAATTATCTGTAGCATACGATGTTGTTTGATAGCTTTTTACCCACAGTAGAACTTTCAAAATTGGATTCAATCCTGTCAGACCTTCGTACTGCTGTACCAACTAAGTTTATGTATTATTGTAAATCACTGGGTTCAATCCTGTCAAGCCCTCCTTCTGCTGTACCAACTAAGTTTATTCTAAATCTGTTGTCATCTCAACAATGTTTACACTGTCTTCACCACGAGTAGATTTCATCTCAAGAAACCACTTTCTTTGCTCATCCGTGGAAGCAACTCATCCACTCACGTTTTCTCTGGAGGCTGCTGCGGTCTCGCCACATCTTCAGGCTCTGTCTCTGTTTCTAGTGCTCTTGTTATTTCCACCATATCTGCAGTTACTTCCTACAGAGAAGTCGTGAACCCCTCAGTGTCATCTGTGAGGGTTGGAATAATCTTCCCAACTTCTCTCTCTCTTTTTTTTTTTTTTGAGATGAAATCTTGCCTGGGCTGGAGTGCAGTGATGCGATCTCAGCTCACTGCAACCTCCACCTCCCGGGTTCAAGCAATTCTCCTGCCTCAGCCTCCCAAGTATTTGGGATTACAGTCACTCCCGACCAGGCCCAGCTAATTTTTTGTGTGTTTTTAGTACAGAGAGGATTTCACTTTGTTGGCCAGTCTGGTCTCAAATTCCTGACCTCGTGATCCACGTGCCTTGGCCTCCCAAAGTGCTGGGATTACAGGCATGAACCACCAAGCCCGGCCCCAACTTCTCCTAATGTTGCTATTTTGATCTTCTTTTTTAAATCATCAATGTTCTCAATAGCATCTAGAATGGTGAATCCTTTCCGGTAGGTTTTCAATTATTTTGCCCAGATCTATCAAAGGAATCACTTTCTAGAGAAGCTATAGCTTTATGAAATATATTTTTAAGTGATAAGACTTGAAAGTTGAAATTATTCTGTGATCCAAGGGCACTAGAATGAATGTTGGGTTAGTAGGCATGAAAACAATATTCAGCTCTTTATACATCTCTGTAAAAGCCCTTGAGTACCAGGGGCATTGTCAGTGAGCGGTAATACTTTGAAGTAATCTTATTTCTTGAGCAGTAGGTGTCAACAGTGGGCTTAAGATATTCAGTAAACCATATTTGTAAACCGATAGTCTGTCATCCAGGCTTTGTTCCCATTTGTAGAGTACAGGCAGAGCTGTGTTTTATCATAATTCTTCAGGGCCCTTGGATTTTCAGAATAGTAAATTATCATTGGTTTCAAGTTAACATCACCAACTGCATTAGCCCTTAACAAAAGAGTCAGCATGTCCTTTGAAGCCTTAAAGCCAGGCATCAACTCCTCTCTAGCTGGGAACATCCTAGATGGCATCTCCTTCTAGTAGAAGGCTGTTTTGTCTCCATTGCAAATCTGTTTAGTGTAGCCATCTTAATGAGTTATCTTCTAGATAGCTTTCTGCAGGTTTTCCATCAGTACTCGCTGCTTTATCTTGCGCTTTTATGTTATGGAGATGACTTTTTTCCTTAAACCTCAAGAAACAAGCTCTTCTAGCTTCAGACTTTTCTTCTGCAGCTGCCTCACCTCTCTGAGTCTTCATAGAATTGAAGAGAGGCTGGGTGCGGTGGCTGTCACACCTGTAATCCTAGCAATTTGGGAGGCCGAGGCGGGCAGATCACCTGAGGTCGGGAGTTCGACACCAGTCTGACCAACGTGGAGAAACCCCATCTCTACTAAAAATATAAAAAATCAGCCAGGCGTGGTGGTGCATGCCTGTAATCCCAGCTACTCGGGATGCTGAGGCAGGAGAATGGCTTGAACTTGGGAGGCAGAGGTTGCGATAAGCCAAGATTGCGCCATTGCACTCCAGCTTGGGCAAGAAGAATGAAACTCTGTCTTAAAAACAAAGAAAAAAAGTAAAAAGAGAGGCTTAGGCTTAATGGAATTTTTTTTTCATCTTCTATCTAGACCAATTAAACTTTCTTCATAACAGCAGCAAGACTGTTTAGCTTTTTATCATTCATGTGTTCACTGGAGTAGTACTTTAAATTTCTTTCCAGAACACTTCCTTTGCATTCACAACTTGGCTAAGTGTTTGTTGCATGAGGTCTAGCTACTGGCCTGTCTTGCTTACAGCATGCCTTCCTCACTAAGCTTAATTATTTCTTCCTTTTGGTTTAAAGTGACAGACATGCAACTCTTCTTTCACTTGAACATATAGAGGCTATTGTAGGGTTATTAATTGGCCACATTTTAATATTAATAAAAAGAAGCCTGAGAAAAAGAGAGAGAAAGAGAAATGGCCCGTTGGTGGGGCAGTCAGAACAAACGCATTTGTCAATTGTTTGCGGTCTTATCCGGGTGTGATTTGTGGTTCCCAAAACAATGACAACAGTAGCATTAAAGATCACTGATTACAGATCACCATAACAGATTCAATAATAAAAAGCTTAAAATACTGTGAGAATGCCGAAATGTGACACAGAGACGTGAAGTGAGCACATGCTCTAGGAACAATGGTGCCAGTGAGACTTGCTTATTGCAGGGTGGCCACAAACTTTCAATATGTAAAAAACATGGTCACAAAACACAATAAAGCAAAGTGCAGTGAAACAAGATGTGTCTGTCTTTTGATAGGCTCTGACAATCTCTATCTTTGAATTGGTACATTCATACTATTAACATTCAAAGTGATTATTGATATCATTGGATTAATATATATTATATTTGTTACTGTTTTCTATTCATTCTCCTCAGTCTTCATTCTTTTGTCTACCACTCTTTTTCTGCCTTTTGCAGTTTTCATTGATGATTTTAGATGACTACATTTTCCGTCTTTTTTAGCATGTACTTCTCTTTTTAAAATTTTTTTTAACTATTTGCCACAGAATTTGCAATATACATTTACAACAAATTCAAGTCCACTTTCAAATAACACTATCCCACTAACCCACAAATAGGACTACCTGCTTAACAAACAAAACACCTAATTCCTCAATATACATTTACAACCAATTCAAGTCCACTTTCAGATAACACTATCCCACTTCACGGGTGACTACCTGCTTAACAAAGAAAACACCTGATTCCTCCCTCCCATCCTTCCATTCCATTCCTTGTATTATTGTTCCTTATTTCCCTTGTGTATAAGCATACATAATCTATCTGTGTGTATTTATTGTTATCTACAAACTTATTGGTCAGATCAATTATGAATAAATACATGTTTTTATTTTACCACAATTCCTCCCTCCCATCCTTCCATTGCATTCCTTGTATTAGTGTTACTCATTTCACTTGTGTATAAGCATACATAATCTATCTGTGTGTATTTGTTATTGTCTGTGAACTTCTTGGTCAGATCAATTAAGAATAAATATATAGGTTTTTATTGTACCGCAATTCTTTCTTTAATGATCTTTTTAAAAAATTGTTGATCCAAGTTTCAGTTAAATATCTTTTGTTTCCCTCTAAAGAATTTCATTTAACATTTCTTGCAAGACAGGTCTCCTGGCAACAAGTTTCTTGAATTTTTATTTTTCTGAGGAAGGCCTTAATTCTCCTTCACTTTTGAAGAGTGGTTTCAGTGTGTACAGAAACTTAGGTTGGTGGGGTTTTTTCTGTCAATATTTTCAATTTTTCATTTCACTGTCTTCTTGCTTTCACAATTTCTGCAATGTTGAATGCTGTTCTTATCTTTGTGTCTCTGTAGGTAAGGTGTTTTCTGCCCCACCTCTGGTTTCTTTCAGAGTTTTCCTTTATCTTTTATTTCATATAGTTTGAAAATTATATGTCCAAGTGTAGGTTGTTGGCATTTATTCTGCATGGTGTTCTCGGAGCTTCCTGGATCTTTGGTTTGGTGTCTGACATTAATACTGGAAGTTCTCAGACATGGTAGTTGCAGAACTTTCTTCTATTTCTTCTCCTCCTGGTATTCTCATTACTCTGTTTCACCTTTTGTAGTTGTCCCACAGTCTTGGATATCATCTTCTGTTCTTTTCAGTGTTTCTTTTCTTTAGTTTTTGAAGTTTCTGATGATAAATCCTCAAGCTCAGAGACTCTTTACTCAGCTGAGTCCAGTCTACTAATAAGCCATCAGAGGTATTCTTCAGTTATTTACCACATTTTTTATCACTACATTATGTTGAAGGTTCTTACGATGTCTGTCTTTCTGATTACATTACCCATCTACACTTGAATGCTGTCTACTTCATTCATTAGAGCCCTTAACATATTCTCCAGAGGTTTAAAAAAAATCCAAAATCATATTTTTGTCTGCTTCTGAAGCTTGCTCTGTTGACACAAATTGTATTTTTTTCTTTTTTTGGACTTTAGTATGCCTTGCAATTTGTTCCCTTTAGTCTCATGCATGAAGTACCCACGAAAAGTGACTGCTGTTAGTATAGCTTCAGTAATGTGGTGATGAGGTGACAGGGCAGCTGATGCTCTCTTAGTCTCTTTAGGCTACTATAACAAAATACTTTAGACTGAGTAATTCATAAACAACAGAGATTATTGCTCACAGATCTGGAGGCTGGAAAGTCCAAGACTAAAGGGCCAGGATATTTGGTGTTTGGTGAAGGTCAAACATTCAGACACTTGCAACGACTATAGTGACAGCAGCAGTCTTCAGAAATCCTATGTGAGGGACAAACACTCAGAAGCCAGCTGGAGTGTTCTAGAATCCTACGTGAGGGAAAAACATTCAGACCCCAGCAGTAGTGTTGTGGAATCCTATGTGAGGGAAGAACATTCAAACCCTCGTAGCAGTGTTCTGGAATCCTATGTGAGGGAAAAAAATTCAGAACCTCGTAGCAGTGTTCTGGAATCCTATGTGAGGAACAATCAGACCACATCAGGAATGTTCTGGAATCCTATGTGAGGGACAAACATTCAGAGTACAGCAGGAGTGTTCTGGAATCCTATGTGTGGGACAAACATTCAGACCACAGCAGGAGTGCTCTGCAATCCTATGTGAGGGACAAACATTTCAAAACCTCGTAGCAGTGTGCTGGAATGTTATGTCAGGGACAGACATTTAGACCCTCACAGCAGTGTTCTGGAATCCCATCTCCGGGACAAACATTCAGACACTCGCAGCAGTGTTCTGGAATTCTATGTGAGGGACAGACATTCAAACCCCAACAGCAGTGTTCTGGAATCCTATGTGAGGGACAAACTTTCAGACCCTCGTAGCAGTGTTCTGGAATCCTATCTGAGGGACAAACATTCAGACCCTCATAGCACTGTACTGGAATACTATGTGAGGGACAAACATTCAGACCATGGCAGTTCCGAAATGCTATGTGAAGGACAAACATTCAGACCTTCGTAGCAGTGTTCTGGAATCCTATGTGAGGGACAAGCATTCAGAACCTCGTAGCAGTGTCCTGGAATCTTATGTGAGGGAGAGACATTTAGACCCTCGCAGCTGTGTTCTGGTATCCCATGTGAGAGACAAACATTCAGACCCTCCCAGCCATGTTCTGGAATTCTATGTGAGGGAAAGACATTCAAACCCCAGCAGCAGTGTTCTGGAATCCGATTTGAGGGGCAGACATTCAGACCCCAGCAGCAGTGTTCTGGAATCCTATGTGAGGGACAAACATTCAGACCCTAGCAGCAGTGTTCTGGAATCCTATGTGAAGGAAAAATATTAAGACCCTCGTAGCAGTGTCCTGGAATCATATGGAAGGGACAACCATTCAGACACCAGCAGAAGTCTTCTGGAATCCTAGGTGTGGGAAAAACATTCAGAACCTAGTAGCAGTGTTCTGGAATCCTATGTGAGGGACATACATTCAGACCACGGCAGCAGTGTTCCGGAATCCTATGTGAGGGACAAACATTCAGACCACGGCAGCAGTGTTCCGGAATCCTGTATGACGGACCAACATTCAGACCCTTGCAACAGTGTTCTGGAATACTAGGTGAGGGAGAATTATTTATACCCTCGTAGCAGTGTTCTGTAATCCTATGTGAGGGACAAACATTCAGACCCCAGGAGCAGTGCTCTGAAATCCTAAGTTAAGGGAAACATTGAGACCCCAGCACGAATGTTCTGGAATCCTATGTGAGGGACAAACATTCAGACCACGGCAGGAGTGTTCTGGAATCCTATGTAAGGAACAAACATTCAGACCTCAGCAGGAGTGTTCTGGTATCCTATATGAGGGATAAGCATTTAGACCCTCGTAGCAGTGTTCTGGAATCCTATGTGAGGGAGAAGCATTCAGAGCACAGCAGGAGTGCTCTGGAATCCCATGTTAGGGACAAACATTCAGAACCTGGTACCATTGTGCTGGAAACCTATGTGAGGGACAGACATTTAGACCCTCGCAGCAGTGTTCTGGAATCCCATGTGAGGGACAAACATTCAGATCCTCGCAGCAGTGTTCTGGAATACTATGTGAGTGACAAACATTCAGACTCCAGCAGCAGTGCTCTGTATTCCTATGTGAAGGACAAACATTCAGAACCCAGGAGCAGTGTTTTGAAATCATATGTTAAGGGCAAACATACAGACCCTAGCATCAATGTTCTAGAATCCTATGTGAGGGACATACATTCAGACCCTTGCAGCAGTGTTCTGGAATCCCAGATGGGGGACAAACATTCAGACAATGGCAGCAGTGTTCTGGAATCCTATGTGAGGCACAAACACTCAGAGCCTCGTAGTGGTGTTCTGGAATCCTATGTGAGGAACAAACAATCAGACCACAGCAAGAGTGTTCTGGAATCCTTTGTTAGGGACAAACATTCAGATCACAGCAGCAGAGTTCTGGAATCCTATGTGAAGGACAAACATTCAGACCCTCGTAGCAATGTTCTGGAATCCTAAGTGAGGGACAAACTTTCAGACAACAGCAAGAGTGTTCTGGAATCCAATGTGAGCGACAAACATTCAGACCCTCATAGTAATTTTCTGGAACCCTAAGTGAGGGACAAACATTCAGAATTTCATAGCAGTGTTCTGGAATCCTACATGAGGGATAAACATTCAGACCACAGCAGGAGTGTTCTGGAATCCTATGTGAGGGACAAAAATTCAGATGCCAGCATAAGTCTTCTGGAATCCTATGTGAGGGACAAACATTCAGACCCTCATAGCAGTGTTCTGGAATCCTGTGTGAGGGACAAACATTCAGACCACAGCAGGAGTGTTCTGGAATCCTGCGTGAGAGACCAACATTCAGACCCTTGTGGCAGTGTTCTGGAATCCTATGTGAGAGACAAACATTCAGACCCTCATAACAGTTTTCTGAAATCCTACTTGAGAGACAAACATTCCCACCACAGCAGGAGTGTTCTCGAATCCTATGTGAGGGCAAACATTCAAACCACAGCAGGAGTGTTCTGGAATGCTATGTGAGGGACAAACATTCAGACACTCGCAGCAGGCTTCTGGAATCCTACGTGAGGGACAAATATTTAGACAATGGCAGCAGTGTTCTGGAATCCTATGTGGGGGACAAACATTCAGAGCCTTGTAGTGTTGTGGAATCCTATGTGAGGGACAGACATTTAGACCACAGCAGCAGTGTTCTGGAATCCCATGTGAGAGACAAACATTCAGACCCCGAACAGAAGTGTTCTGGAATCCTATGTGAGGGACAAACATTTAGACCCTCTTTGCAGTGTTCTGGAATCCTATGTGAGGGACAAACATTCAGACGCCAGCAGCAGTGTTTTGGAGTCGTATGTGATGGACAAACATTCAGACCCTTGTAGCTTCTTCTGGAATCCTACGTGAGACACAAACACTCAGAACCCAGCAACAGTGTTCTGGAATCCTATGTGAAGGACAAGCATTCAGACCCTCGTAGCAGTGTACTGTAATCCTATGTGAGGGACAAACATTCAGACCATAGCAAGATTGTTCTGGAATCCTATGTGAGGAACAAATATTCAGACCAGGACAGCAGTGTTTTGTCCTGAAGGACAAACATTGAGACCCTTGTAGCTGTTTTCTGGAATCTTATGTGAGGAACAAACACTCAGACCATAGCAGGAGTGTTCTGGAATCCTGTGTGAAGGAGAAATATTCAGACCACTGCATGAGTGTTCTGGAATTCAATTTGAGGGACAAACATGCAGACCCTCGTAGGAGTGTTCTGAAATCCTATGTGATGAACAAACATTCAGAACACAGCAAGAGTGTTCTGGAATCCTATGCGAGGTACAAACATTCAGACCACAACAGGAGTGTCCTGGAATCCCATGTGAGGTGCAAACATTCAGACCCTCATAGCATTGTTCTTGAATGCTATGTGAGGGACAAAATTTCACAACACAGCAGGAGTGTTCTGGAGTCCTATGTGATGGACAAACATTCAGAACACAGCAGGAGTGTTCTGAAATACTATGTGAGGGACAAATATTCAGACCACAGAAGGAGTGTTCTGGAATCCTTTGTCAAGGACAAACGTTCAGACCCTTGTAGCAGTGTTCAGGAATCCTATGTGAGGGACAAACATTGAGACCCCAGTAGGAGTGTTCTGGAGTCCCATGTGAGGGACAAAGATTCAGACTTTCGTAGCAGTGTTTTGAAATCCTATGTGAGGGACAAACGTTCAGACCACAGCAAGGGGGCTCTGGAATCCTATGTGAGGGACAAACATTCAGAACTTCGTAGCCGTGTGCTGGAATTTTATGTGAGGGAGAGATATTTAGACCCTTGGAGCAGTGTTCTGGAATCCCATAGGAGAGACATACATTCAGACCCTCCCAGCAGTGTTCTGGAATTCTATGTGAGGGACAGACATTCAAACCCCAGCAGCAGTGTTCTGGAATGTGATGTGAGGTACAAACATTCAGACACCAGCAGAAGTGTGCTGGAATACTATGTGAGGGAGAAACACTCAGACCCTCGTAGCAGTGTTGTGGAATCCTATGTGAAGGACAAGCATTCATACCCTCGTAGCAGTGTCCTGGAATCATATGTGAGGGATAAACTTTGAGAATCCAGCAGAGGTGTTCTGGAATCCTAGATGTGGGACAAACATTCAGACCCTCATAGCAGTGTTCTGGAATCCTATGCGAGGGAGAAACTTTCAGACCATGGCATGGAAGCAGAGGTGTTCTGGAATCCTAGGTGTGGGACAAACATTCAGACCCTCATAGCAGTGTTCTGGAATGCTATGTGAGGGAGAAACTTTCAGACCACGACAGCAGTGTTCTGGAATGCTACATGAAGGACAAACATCCTGACCCTCCTAACAGTGTTATGCAATCGTATGTGAGGGACAGACATTTAGACCCTCGCAGCTGTGTTCTGGAGTCCTATGGGAGGGACAAACATTCAGACCCTTGCAGCAGTTTTCTGGAATCCTTTGTGAGGGAGAGACATTCAGACCCTCATAGTGGTGTTCTGGAATCCTGTGTGACAGACAAACATTCAGAACCTGGTATCAGCGTTCTTCCATCCCATATCAGGGACATACATACCCCAGCCACAGTGTTCTGGAATCCTATGTGACAGACAAACATACAAACAACAGCAGGAGTGTTCTGGAATCCTATGTGAGGAACAAACATTTAGACCCTCGTAGCAGTGTTCTGGAATCCTATGTCAGGGACCAACATTCAGACCCTAGAAGCAGTGTTCTGGAGTGTTATGAGACAGAAAAGCATTCAGACCCTCATAGCAGTGTTCTGGAATTCTATGTCAGGGATATTCAGACCACAGCAGAAATGTTCTGGAATCCTATGTGAGGCACAAACCTTCAGACCACAGCAGAAATGTTCTGGAATCCTATGTGAGGCACAAACCTTCAGACCACAGCAGGCGTTTTCTGGAATCATATGTGAGGGACATTCAGACCATCACAAGAGTGTTCTGGAATCCTATGTGAAGGGCAAACATTCAGACTCCAGCAGCATTGTTCTTCAATGCTATCTGAGGGAGAAACTTTCAGACAACAGCAGGAGTGTTCTGGAGTCCTATGTGAGGGACAAACTTTCAGAACACAGCAGGAGTGTTCTGAAATCCTATGTGAGGGACAAACATTCAGACCACAGCAGGAGTGTTCTGGAATCCTTTGTGAAGGAGAAATATTCAGACCCTTGTAGCAGTTCTCTGGAATCCTATTTGAGGGACAAATATTCAGAACACAGTAGAAGTATTCTGAAATCCTATGTGAGGGACAAACATTCAAACGACAGCAGGAGTGCTCTGGAGTCCTATGTGAGTGTCAAACATTCAGACAACAGCAGGAGTGTTCTGGAATCCTATGTGAAGAACAAGCATTCAGACCCCAGCAGCAGTGTTCTGGAACCCTATGTGAGGGAAAAGCATCCGTATCCTCGTAGGGGTGTTCTAGAATCCTATGTGAGGGAAAAAAAACTCAGAATCCAGGAGCAGTGCTCTGGAATCCTATGTGAGGGACAAACATTCAGTCCACAGCAGCAGTGTTCTGGACTGCTATGTGAGGGGCCAACATTCAGACCATAGCAGGAGAGTTCTGGAGTCCTATGTGAGGGATAAACATTTAGACCACAGCAGGAGTGTAACAGAACCCTACATGAGGGACAAACATTCAGACCACGGCAAGATTGTTCTGGAATGCTCTCTGAGGGACAAACATTGAGACCTCAGCAGCAGTGTTCTGGAATCCTATGTGATGGACAAACATTCAGCTCACAGCAGGAGTGTTCTGAAATCCTATGTGAGGGACAGACATTTGGACCCCATCAGCAGTGTTCTGGAATCCTATTTGAGGGACAAACACTCAGAACC
Organism: Homo sapiens; assembly: GCF_000001405.40. NCBI lineage: Eukaryota > Metazoa > Chordata > Mammalia > Primates > Hominidae > Homo > Homo sapiens. The sequence goes on from NW_021160023.1 coordinate 17,800, forward strand.
CAGCAGCAGTATTCTGGAATCCTAAGTGAGGGACAAATATTCAGACCCTCTTAGCAGTGTTCTGGAATCCTATGTGAATGACAAACGCTCAGAATCCAGCACCACTGTTCTGAAATCATATGTGAAGGACAAACCTTCAGACCAGAGCAGTAGTGCTGTGGAATTTTATGTTAGAGACAAACATTCAGACTCCAGCAGCAGTGTTCTTGAATGCTATCTGAGGGACAAACATTCTAACCACAGCAGGAGTGCTATGGAGACGTATGTGAGGGACAAAAATTCAGAACACAGCAGGAGTGTTCTGGAATCCTATTTGAGGGAAAATCTTTCATACCCTCATAGCAGTGTTCTGGAATCCTATTTGAGGGAAAAAAAACTCAGAATCTAGGAGCAGTGTTCTGGAATCCTATGTGAGGGAAAAACATTCAGTCCGCAGCAGCAGTCTTCTGGAATGCTATGTGAGGGACAAACATTCAGATCATAGCAGAATTGTTCTGGAATCCTATGTGAGGGACAAACAGTCAGACCACAGCAGCAGTGTTATGGAATCCTATGTGAGGGACAAATATTCAGACCACAGCAGGAGTGTTCTGGAATGCTGTCTGAGGAACAAACATTGAGACCCCAGCAGCAGTGCTCTGGAATATCATTTAATGGACAAACATTCAGAGCCTTGTAGCAGTGTTCTGGAATCCTATGTGTGGGACAAACACTCAGAACCCAGCAGCAGTATTCTGGAATCCTAAGTGAGGGACAAATATTCAGACCCTCTTTGCAGTGTTCTGGAATCCTATGTGAATGACAAATGCTCAGAATCCATCACCACTGTTCTGAAATCATATGTGAAGAACAAACCTTCAGACCAGAGCAGTAGTGCTGTGGAATTGTATGTTAGAGACAAACCTTCAGACTCCAGCAGCAGTGTTCTTGAATGCTATCTGAGGGACAAACATTATAACCACAGCATGAGTGTTATGGAGACGTATGTGAGGGACAAATATTCAGAACACAGCAGGAGTGTTCTGGAATCCTATGTGAGGGACAAATTTTCAGAACACTGCAGGAGTGTTGTGAAATCCTATGTGAGGGACAAACTTTGAAACGAAAGCAAGAGTGTTCTGGAGTCCTATGTGAGTGTCAAACATTCAGACAACAGCAGGGGTGTTCTGGAATCCTATGTGAGGAACAAACATTCAGGCCACAGTAGGAGTGTTCTGGAATCCTATGTCAGGGACAAAGATTCATACCCTCTTAACAATGTTCTGGAATCCTATGTGAGGGACAAACATTTAGACACCAGCAGCAGTGTTCTATAATCCTCTGTGAGGGTAAAACATTCATACCCTCGTAGTGGTGTTCTGGAATCCTCTGTGAGGGAATAAAACTGAAAATCCAGGAGCAGTGTTCTGGAATCCTATGGGAGGGACAAATATTCACTCCACAGCAGGAGTGTTCTGGAGTCCTATGTGAGGGACCAACATTCAGACCATAGCAGGAGTGTTCTGGAGTCCTATGTGAGGGACCAACATTCAGACCATAGCAGGAGTGTTCTGGAGTCCTATGTGAGGGACCAACATTCAGACCATAGCAGGAGTGTTCTGGAGTCCTATGTGAGGGACAAACATTCAGACCCTTGTAACCGTGTTCTGGAATTCTATGTGAGGGACATTCAGACCCCAGCAGCAGTGTTCTTGAATGCCATGTGAGGGACAAACACTCAGACTCGAGCAGCAGTTTTCTGGAATCTTATTTCAGGATCAAATATTCGGACCCTCCTAGCAGTGTTCTGGAATCCTATGTGAGGGACAAACATTCAGAAGACAGCAGGAGTATTCTGAAATCTTATGTGAGGAACAAACAGACCACAGCAGGAGTGTTCTGGAATCCCATGTGAGGGAGCAACATTCAGACCTTCGTAGCAGTGTTCTGGAATCCTATGTGAGGGACAAACATTAGAACAATGTAGCTGTGTTCTGGAACCCTTCGTGAGGTACAAACATTCACCACCCAACAGCAGTGTTCTGGAATCCTAAGTGAGGGACAAATATTCAGACCAAAACAGGAGTGTTCTGGAATCCTATGTGCAGGACACACATTCATACCCCATAGCAGTGTTCTAGAATCCTATCTGAGGGACAAAGATTTATACCCACGCAGCAGTGTGATATGAGCACAGCAGGAATGATCTGGAATCCTATGTGAGGGACAAACATTCACACCACATCAGGAGCGTTCTGGAATCCTATGTGAGGGACAAATATTCAGATGACAGCAGGAGTGTTCTGAAATCCTAAGTGAGGAACAAGCATTTACACCACAGCAGGAGTGTTCTGAAATCCTATGTAAGGAACAAACATTTAGACCACTGCAGGAGAATTCTGGAATCCTATATGCCGGACAAACATTCAGACGACAGCAGAATGGTTCTGAAATCCTATGTAAGGAGCAAACAGTTAGACCACAGGAGGAGTGATATGGAATCCTATGTTAGGGACAAACATTCAGACCCTGGTAGCAGTGTTCTGGATTCCTATGTGAGTAACACACTTTTAGACCCAAGTGGCAATGTTCTGGAATTGTACGTGAGGGACAAATAATCAGGACCCAACTGCAGTGTTCTGGAATTCTGAGTGAGGGACAAACAGTCAGTGCACAGCAGGGGTGTTCTGCAATCCTCTGTGAAGGACAGACATTCAGACGACAGTAGGAATGTTCTGAAATCCTATGTGAGGTACAAACATTTATACCACAGCAGGAGTGTTCTGGAATTTTATGTGTGGGACAAACATTCAGACCCTCATAGCAGTGTTTTGGAATCCTATACGAGGGAGAATCATTTAGACCCACATAGCTGTGTTCTTGAATCTTACGTGAGGGACACACAGTCAGAACCCAACAGCAATGTCTCTGGAATCCTACGTGAGGTACAAACATTCAGATGACAGCAGGAGTATTCTGAAATCATAAGTGAGGAACAAACATTTCGACCACAGCAGGAGTGTTCAGGAATCCTATGTGAGAGACAAACACTCAGACAACAGCAGGAGTGTTCTGGAATCCTACGTGAGGTTCAGTCATTCATGCCCTCGTAGCAGTGTTCTGGAATCTTATCTGAGGGAGAAACACTCAGAACCCAGTAGCAGTGCTCTGGAATCGAATGTCAGGGACAGTCATTCAGACCACAGCTGGGGTGTCCTGGAATCCTACACGTGGGACAAACATTCAGACACTTGTAGCATTGTTCTGGAATCCTATGTGAGGGACAAACATTCAGAACACAGCAGGAGTGTTGTTGAGTCCTACGTGCGGGACAAACATGCAGACTCTCGTAGCATGGTTCTCGAATCCTATGTGAGGGACAAATATTTAGACCCACCTAGCAGTGTTCTTGAATCGTACGTGAGGGACAAACACTCAGAACCCAAAAACAGTTTTCTGGAACCCTAAAGGAGGGAGAAACATTCAATCCACAGCAGGAGTGTAGTGGTATCCTATGTGAGGGACAAACATTCAGACGACAGCAGGAATGTTCTGAAATCCTTAGTGAGGAACAAACATTTAGACCACAGCAGGAGTTTTCTGGAATCCTATGTGAGGGATAAACATTCAGACATTGACAAGAGTGTTCTGCAATCCTATGTGACGTACATTCAGACCCTCGTAGCAGTGTTCTGGAATCCTATGTGAGGGAGAAACATTCAGAACCCAGCAACAGTGTTCTGGAATCTTATGTGAGGGACAATCATTCAGACCACAGGTGGGGTGTTCTGGATTCCTACGTGTGGGGCAAACGTCCAGACCCTCGGATAATTGTTCTGGAATCCTATGTGAGGGACATTTAGAACAAAGCAGGAGTGTTGTGGAGTCCTATGTGAGGAAAAACTTTCAGACCCTCGTAGCAATATTCTGGAATCCTATGTGAGGGACAAACATTCAGACCCTCCTAGCAGTGTTCTGGAATCCTAGGTGAGGTACAATCATTCAGAACCTCGTAGCAGTGTTCTGGAATCCAATGTGAGGGAGAAACACTCAGAACCCACCAGCAGTGTTCTGGAATCCTATGAGAGGGACAATCTTTCAGACCAATACTGGGGTGCTCTGAAATCCTAAGTGTGGGATAAACATTCAGACACTCGTAGCATTCTTGTGGAATCTTATGTGAGGGACAAACATTCAGATGACAGCAGGAGTGTTCTAAAATTGTAGGTTAGGAACAAACATTTAGACCACAGCAGGAGTGTTCAGCAATCCTATGTGAGGGACAAACACTCAGACAATTGCAGGAGTGTTCTGGAATCCTATGTGAGGTTCAGTCATTGATACCCTCATATCAGTGTTCTGGAATCCTATCTAAGTGAGAAACACTCAGAACCCAGCGGCAGTGTTTGGGAATTGCATGTCAGGGACAGTCATTCAGACCACAGCTGGGGTGTTCTGGACCCTACGTGTGGGACAAACATTCAGACCATCGTAGCATTGTTCTGAAATCCTATGTGAGAGACAAACATTCAGAACACAGAAGGAGTGTTCTGAAGTCCTATGTGCGGGATAAAAGTTCAGACCCTCGTAGCTGTGTCTGGAATCCTATGTGAGGGACAAACATTTAGACCCACGTGGCAGTGTTCTTGAATCGTACCTGAGGGACAAACACTCAGAACCCAACAGCAGTGTTCTGGAATCCTAAGCGAGGGACAAAAATTCAGACCACAGCAGGAGTGTTCTGGAGTCCTATGTGAGGGACTAACATTCTGAAGACAGCAGGAGTGTTCTGTAATCCTACGTGAGGAACAAGCATTTAGAACACAGCTGGAGTGTTCTGGAATCCTATGTGAGGGACATAAATTCAGACGACAGCAGGATTGTTCTGAAACTCTGTGTGAGGAACAAACATTTAGACCACTGCAGGAGTGTTCTGGAATCCTATGTGCGGGACAAACATTCAGACCCTCGCAGCAGTATTCTGGAATCCTTTGTGAGGGACAAACATTCAGAACACAGCAGGAGTGTTCTGGAGTCCTATGTGTGGTACAAATATTTCGTCCCTCGTAGCAGCGTCTGGAATCATATGTGAAGGACAAACATTCAGACCCACGTGGCTGTGTTCTGGAATCGTACAAGAAGGACAAAGACTCAGAACACAACAGCAGTGTTCTGGAATCCTAAGTGAGGAACAAACTTTCAGACCACAGCAGGAGTGTTTTGGAATCCCATGTGAGGGACAAACCTTCTGAAGACAGCAGGGGTGTTCTGAAATCCTACCTGAGAAACAAACATTTAGATCACAGCTGGAGTGCTCTGGAATTCTATGTGAGGGACAAACATTCAGACGACAGCAAGATTGTTCCGAAATCCTTTGTGAGGAACAAACATTTAGAACACAGCAGGAGTGTTCTGGAATCCTATGTGCAAGACAAACATTCACAACTTCGTAGCAGTGTTCTGGAATCCTATCTGAGGGAAGAACATTCAGACCCACGTAACAGTGTTCTGGAATCCTACGTGAGGGACAAACACTCAAAACAGCAGTGTTCTGGAATCCTAAGAGAGGGACATACATTCAGTCCACAGCAGTAGTGTTGTGGAATCCTATGTGAGGGACAAAAATTCAGACGACAGCAGCAGTGATCTCAAATAATATGTGAGGAACAAACTTTTAGACCACAGCAGGAGTGATCTGAAACCCGTGTGAGGAACAAACATTTAGACCACAGCAGGAGTGTTGTGGAATCCTATGTGGGGGACAAACATTCAGATCCTCGTAGCAGTATTCTGGAATCCTATGTGAGGCACAAACCTTTAGACCCACGTAGCAGTGTTCTGGAATCCTACATGTGGGACAAACACTGAGAACCCAAGAGCAGTGTTCTGGAATCCTAAGTGAGGGACAAACATTCACTCCACAACAAGGGTGCTCTGGAATCCTAAGTGAGTCACAAACATTCAGACGACAGTAGGAGTCCTCTGAAATCTAATGTGAGGAACAAACATTTATACCACAGCAGAAGTGTGCTGGAATGTTATGTGCGGGACAAATATTCAGAAACTCAAAGCAGTGTTCTCGAATCCTATGTGAGGGAGAATCATTTCGACCCATGTATCTGTGTTCTGGAATCCTACATGAGGGAAAAACATTCAGAACCCAACAGGAGGAGTGTTCTGGAATCCTATGTGAAGTACAAATATTCAGATGACAGCAGGAGTGTTCTGAAATCCTATGCGAGGAACAAACATTTAGACCACAGCAGTTGTGTTCGGGAATACTATATGAGGGACAAACCCTCAGACAATAGCACGAGTGTTCTGGAATCCTATGTGAGGTTCAGTCATTCATCCCCTCGTAGCAGTGTTCTGGAATCTTATGTGAGGGAGAAACACGCAGAACCCTGCAGCAATGTTCTGGAATCGTATGTCAGGGACAATCATTCACACCACAGCTAAGGTGTTCTGGAATCCAACATGTGGGACAAACATTCAGACCCTCGTAGCATTGTTCTAGAATCCTATGTGAGGGAGAAACATTCAGAAAACAGCAGAAGTGTTCTGGAGTCCTATGTGCGGGACAAACTTTCAGACCCTCGTAGCAGCGTTCTGGAATCCTATGTGAGGGCCAAATATTAGACCCACATGGCAGTGTTCTGGATTCGTACGTGAGGGACATATACCCAGTTACCACAATACAACAATTTTCCCCTGCCACAAGCTGCAGTGCAGAAGTAGATTTATGTACTATACAAGCAGTCTCTCTGCTTCCAGGGGAACCCCCAAACAAAAAATCCCCACAGGGGTATGTGGCCCACTGCCTGAGGGGACTGTAGGACTAATCTTGGGAAGATCAAGTCTAAATCTAAAGGGAGTTCAAATTCATACTGGTGTGGTTGATTCAGATTATAAAGGCGAAATTCAATTGGTTATTAGCTCTTCAATTCCTTGGAATGCCAGTCCAGGATACAGGATTGCTCAATTATGACTCCTGCCTTATATTAAGGTTGGAAATAGTGAAATAAAAAGAACAGGAGTGTTTGGAAGCACTGATCTGACAGGAAAGGCTGCATATTGGGCAAGTCAGGTCTCAGAAAACAGACCTGTGTGTAAGGCCATTATTCAAGGAAAACAGTTTGAAGGGTTAGTAGACACTGGAGCAGATGTCTCTATCATTGCTAAAGCAAATCACTGGCCAAAAAATTGGCCTAAACAAAAGGCTGTTACAGGACTTGTCGGCGTAGGCACAGCCTCAGAAGTGTATCAAAGTACTGAGATTTTACATTGTTTAGGGCCAGATAATCAAGAAAGTACTGTTCAGCCAATGATTACTTCAATTCCTCTTAATCTGTGGGGTCGAGATTTATTACAACAATGGGGTGCGGAAATCACTATGCCCACTCCATTATATAGCCCCACGAGTCAAAAAATCATGACCAAGATGGGATGTATACCAGGAAAGGGACTAGGAATAAAATGAAGATGGCATTAAAGTTCCAGTTGAGGCTAAAATAAATCAAGAAAGAGAAGGAATTAGGGTATCCTTCTTAGGGGCGGCCACTGTAGAGCCTCCTAAACCCATAGCATTAACTTGGAAAAGAGAAAAACCGGTGTGGGTGAATCAGTGGCTGCTACCAAAACAAAAACTGGAGGCTTTACATTTATTAGCAAATGAACAGTTAGGAAAGGGACATATTGAGCCTTCATTCTCGCCTTGGAATTCTCCTGTGTTTGTAATTCAGAAGAAATCTGGCAAATGGCGTATGTTAACTGACTTAAGGGCCATAAACGCCGTAATTCAACCCATGGGGCCTCTCCAACCCTGGTTGCCCTCTCCGGCCATGATCCCAAAAGACTGGCCTTTAATTATAATTGATCTAAAGGATTGCTTTTTTACCATCCCTCTGGCAGAGCAGGATTGTGAAAAATTTGCCTTTACTATACCAGCCATAAATAATAAAGAACAAGCCACCAGGTTTCAGTGGAAAGTGTTACCTCAGGGAATGCTTAATAGTCCAACTATTTGTCAGACTTTTGTAGGTCGAGCTCTTCAACCAGTTAGAGACAAGTTTTCAGACTGTTATATCATTCATTATTTTGATGATATTTTATGTGCTGCAGAAACAAGAGATAAATTAATTGACTGTTATACATTTCTACAAGCAGAGGTTGCCAACGCAGGACTGGCAATAGCATCTGATAATATCCAAACCTCTACTCCTTTTCATTATTTAGGGATGCAGATAGAAAATAGAAAAATTAAGCCACAAAAAATAGAAATAAGAAAAGACACATTAAAAACACTAAATGATTTTGAAAAATTGCTAGGAGATATTAATTGGATTCAGCCAACTCTAGGCATTCCTACTTATGCCATGTCAAATTTGTTCTCTATCTTAAGAGGAGACTCAGATTTAAATAGTAAAAGAATGTTAACCCCAGAGGCAACAAAAGAAATTAAATTAGTGGAAGAAAAATTTCAGTCAGTGCAAATAAATAGAATAGATCCCTTAGCCCCACTCCAACTTTTGATTTTTGCTACTGCACATTCTCCAACAGGCATCATTGTTCAAAATACTGATCTTGTGGAGTGGTCATTCCTTCCTCACAGTACAGTTAAGACGTTTAAATTGTATTTGGATCATATAGCTACATTAATTGGTCAGACAAGATTACGAATAATAAAATTATGTGGAAATGACCCAGACAAAATAGTTGTCCTTTAACCAAGAAACAAATTAGACAAGCCTTTATCAATTCTGGTGCATGGCAAATTGATCTTGCTAATTTTGTGGAAATTGTTTATTATCATTACCCGAAAACAAAAATCTTCCAATTTTTAAAATTAACTACTTGGATTCTACCTAAAATTACCAGATGTGAACCTTTAGAAAATGCTCTAACACTATTTACTGATGGTTCCAGCAATGGAAAAGCAGCTTACACAGGGCCAAAAGAAAGAGTAATCACAGCTCCATTTCAATCGGCTCAAAGAGCAGAGTTGGTTGCAGTCATTACAGTGTTCCAAGATTTTGATCAACCTATCAATATTATATCAGATTCTGCATATGTAGTACAGGCTACAAGGGATGTTGAGACAGCTCTAATTAAATATAGCATGGACGATCAGTTAAACCAGATATTCAGTTTATTACAACAAACTGTAAGAAAAAGAAATTTCCCATTTTATATTACTCATATTCGAGCACACACTAATTTACCAGGGCCTTTGACTAAAGCAAATGAACAAGCTGACTTACTGGTATCATCTGCATTCATAAAAGCACAAGAACTTCATGCTTTGACTCATGTAAATGCAGCAGGATTAAAAAACAAATTTGATGTCACATGGAAACAGGCAAAAGATATTGTACAACATTGCACCCAGTGTCAAGTCTCACACCTGCCCACTCAAGAGGCAGGAGTTAATCCCAGCGGTCAGTGTCCTAATGCATTATGGCAAATGGATGTCACACATGTACCTTCATTTGGAAGATTATCATATGTTCATGTAACAGTTAAAACTTATTCACATTTCATATGGGCAAGTTGCCAAACAGGAGAAAGTACTTCCCGTGTTAAAAAACATTTATTTTCTTGTTGTACTGTAATGGGAGTTCCAGAAAAAATCAAAACTGACAATGGACCAGGATATTGTAGTAAAGCTTTCCAAAAATTCTCAAGTCAATGGAAAATTTCACATACAACAGGAATTCCTTATAATTCCCAAGGACAGGCCATAGTTTAAAGAACTAATAGAACACTCAAAACTCAATTAGTTAAACAAAAAGAAGGGGGAGACAGTAAGGAGTGTACCACTCCTCAGATGCAACTTAATCTAGCACTCTATACTTTAAATTTTTTAAACATTTATAGAAATCAGACTACTACTTCTGCAGAACAACATCTTACTGGTAAAAAGAACAGCCCACATGAAGGAAAACTGATTTGGTGGAAAGATAATAAAAATAAGACATGGGAAATAGGGAAAGTAATAACGTGGGGAGAGGTTTTGCTTGTGTTTCACCAGGAGAAAATCAGCTTCCTGTTTGGATACCTACTAGACATTTGAAGTTCTACAATGAACCCATCAGAGATGCAAAGAAAAGCGCCTCCACGGAGACGGTAACACCACTCACATGGATGGATAATCCTATAGAATTAAATGTTAAGGATAGTGTATGGGTACCTGGCCCCACAGATGATCACTGCCCTGCCAAACCTGAGGAAGAAGGGATGATGATAAATATTTCCATTGGGTATCGTTATCCTCCTATTTGCCTAGGAAGAGCACCAGGATGCTTAATGCCTGCATTCCAAAATTGGTTGGTAGAAGTACCTACTGCCGGTCCTAACAGTAGACTCACTTATCACATGGTAAGCGGGATGTCACTCAGGCCACGGGTAAATTATTTACAAGACTTTTCTTATCAAAGATCATTAAAATTTAGACCTAAAGGGAAACCTTGCCCCAAGGAAATTCCCAAAGGATCAAAAAATACAGAAGTTTTAGTTTGGGAAGAATGTGTGGCCAATAGTGCGGTGATATTACAAAACAATGAATTCCGAACTGTTATAGATTGGGCACCTCGAGGTCAATTCTACCACAATTGCTCAGGACAAACTCAGTCATGTCCAAGTGCACAAGTGAGTCCAGCTGTTGATAGCGACTTAACAGAAAGTCTAGACAAACATAAGCATAAAAAATTACAGTCTTTCTACCCTTGGTATGGGGAGAAAAAGGAATCTCTAACCCAAGACCAAAAATAATAAGTCCTGTTTCTGGTCCTGAACATCCAGAATTGTGGAGGCTTACTGCAGCCTCATACCACATTAGGATTTGGTCTGGAAATCAAACTTTAGAAACAAGAGATCGTAAGCCATTTTATACTATCTACCTAAATTCCAGTCTAACGGTTCCTTTACGAAGTTGTGTAAAGCCCCCTTATATGCTAGTTGTAGGAAATATAGTTATTAAACCAGACTCTCAAACTAAAACCTGTGAAAATTGTAGATTGTTTACTTGCATTGATTCAACTTTTAATTGGCAACACCGTATTCTGCTGGTGAGAGCAAGAGAAGGCGTGTGGATCCCTGTGTCCATGGACCGACCATGGGAGGCCTCGCCATCCATCCATATTTTGACTGAAGTATTAAAAGGCGTTTTAAATAGATCCAAAAGATTCATTTTTACTTTAATTGCAGTGATTATGGGATTAATTGCAGTCACAGCTATGGCTGCTGTGGCAGGAGTTGCATTGCACTCTTCTGTTCAGTCAGTAAAATTTGTTAATGATTGACAAAAAATTCTACATGATTGTGGAATTCACAATCTGGTATTGATCAAAAATTGGCAAATCAAATTAATGATCTTAGACAAACTGTCATTTGGATGGGAGACAGACTCATGAGCTTAGAACATCGTTTCCAGTTACAGTGTGACTGGAATACATCAGATTTTTGTATTACACCCCAAATTTATAATGAGTCTGAGCATCACTGGGACATGGTTAGACGTCATCTACAGGGAAGAGAAGATAATCTCACTTTAGACATTTCCAAGTTAAAAGAACAAATTTTCAAAACATCAAAAGCCCATTTAAATTTGGTGCCAGGAACTGAGGCAATTGCAGGAGTTGCTGATGGCCTCGCAAATCTTAACCCTGTCACTTGGGTTAAGACCATCAGAAGTACTACGATTGTAAATCTCATATTAATCCTTGTGTGCCTGTTTTGTCTGTTGTTGGTCTGCAGGTGTACCCAACAGCTCGGAAGAGACAGAGACCATCGAGAACGGGCCATGATGACGATGGCGGTTTTGTCGAAAAGAAAAGGGGAAATGTGGGGAAAAGCAAGAGAGATCAGATTGTTACTGTGTCTGTGTAGAAAGAAGTAGACATAGGAGACTCCATTTTGTTCTGTACTAAGAAAAATTATTCTGCCTTGAGATTCTGTTAATCTATGACCTTACCCCCAACCCCGTGCTCTCTGAAATATGTGCTGTGTCAAACTCAGGGTTAAATGGATTAAGTATTGTGCAAGATGTGCTTTGTTAAACAGTTGCTTGAAGGCAGCATGCTCCTTAAGAGTCATCACTACTCCCTAATCTCAAGTACCCAGGGACACAAAAACTGCTGAAGGCCGCAGGGACCTCTGCCTAGGAAAGCCAGGTATTGTCCAAGGTATATCCCCATGGGATAGTCTGAAATATGGCCTTATGGGAAGGGAAAGACCTGACCGTCCCCCAGCCCGACAACCGTAAATGGTCTGTGCTGAGGAGGATTAGTATAAGAGGAAGGCATGTCTCTTGCAGTTGAGACAAGAGGAAGGCATCTGTCTCCTGCCCGTCCATGGGCAATGGAATGTCTCGGTATAAAACCCGATTGTACGTCCCATCTACTGAGATAGGGAAAAACCGCCTTAGGGCTGGAGGTGGGACATGCGGGCAGCAATACTGCTTTGTAAAGCATTGAGATGTTTATGTGTATGCATATCTAAAAGCACAGCACTTGATTCTTTACCTTGTCTATGATGCAAAGACCTTTGTTCACGTGTTTGTCTGCTGACCCTATCCCCACTATTGTCTTGTGACCCTGACACATCACCCTCTCGGAGAAACACCCACAAATGATCAATAAATACTAAGGGAACTCAGAGGCTGGCGGGATCCTCCATATGCTGAACGCTGGTTCCCTGGGTCCCCTTATTTCTTTCTCTATATTTTGTCTCTGTGTCTTTTTCTTTTCCATGTCTCTCATTCCACCTAACAAGAAAAACCCACAGGTGTGGAGGGGCAACCCTATGTGAGGGACAAACATTCAGACAACAGCAGGATTGTTCTGGACTCCTATGTGAGTAACATACACTCAGAAAACAGCAGGAGTGTTTTGGAATCCTATGTAAGGGACAAACATTCAGATCCTCATAGCAGTGTCCTGGATTTCTGCGTGAGGGACAAACATTCAGACCCCATAGCAGTGTTCTGGAATCCTATGTTAGAGAGAAACATTCAGACCACAGCAGGAGTGTTCTGGAATCTCCTGTGAGGAACAAACATTCAGACTCCCCTAACAGTGTTCTGAAATCTTATGTGACTGACAAACATTTAGACGCCAGCAGCAGTATTCTGGAATGCAATGTGAGGGACAAATATTGAGACCCTCGTAGCAGTGTTCTGGTATCCTATCTGAGAGACAAACTCTCAGAACCAAGCAGCGGTGTTCTGGAAAATTATGTAAGGGATAAGGATTCAGACCAGATCTGGTATGCTCTGGAATTCTATGTGAGGAACAAACTCTCAGAATACTGCAGGAGTGTTTTGGAATCCTATGTGAGGGACAAACATTCAGACCCTCGTAGCAGTGTTCTGGAATCCCATGTGATTGACATTCAGACCACAGCAGGAGTGTTCTGGAATCCCCTGTGAGGACCCAACATTCAGACCTCTGTAGCAGTGTTCTGGAATCCTAAGTGAGAGACAAACATTTAGACCCCAGAAGCAATGTTCTGGAATCCTATGTGAGGGACAAACATTCAGACCCTCGAAGCAGTGTTCTGGAATCCAATGTGTGGGATAAACATTCAGACAATAGTAGCAGTGTTCTGTAATCCAATGTGAGGGACACACATTCAGGCCCTCGTCGGAATGCTTTGAATTCTATGTGAGGGACAAACACTGAGACAATCTTAGTACTATTCAGGAATCCTCTGTGAGGTACAAATTTTTAGACCACAGCAGAAGTGTTCTGCAATCCTATTTGAGGGACAAACATTCAAACAACAGAGGGAATCTTCTGGAATCCTATGTTACGGACCAACATTCAGACCCTCGTTGCAGTGTTCTGGAATTCTATGTGAGGGAGAAACAAGTAGAACCTATCAGCTGTGTTCTGGAATCCTGTGGGGGGACATACATGTAGACACCAGCAGCGGTGTTCTGGAATCCTATGTGAGGGACAAACATTCAGAACCGAGCAGCAGTGTTCTGGAACTCTGTATGAGGGACAAACATTAAGAACACGGCAGGATTGTTCTGCAATCCTATGTGAGGGAGAAACACTCTGAAAACCGTAAGTGTGTTTTGGAATCCTACATGAGGGCCAAACAATCAAACCCTCATAGCTGTGTTCCGGAATCCTATGTGAGGGGCAAACACTCAGACAATCGTAGCAGTTTTCTGGAATCCTTTGTGAGGGACAAGCATTCATTCCCTCGTAGCGGTGTTCGGGAACCCTGTATGAGGGACAAACATTCAGACCACACCGTTCTGGAATCCCCTCTGTGGGAAAAACATTCAGACCCTCGTGGCAGTGTTCTGGAATCCTATGTGACGGACAAAGATTTAGACCACAGCAGCAGTGTTCTGAAATCCTATGTGAGGGACATTCAGACCCTCTTAGCAGTTTTCTGGAATCTTATGTGAGGGACAATCATTCAGACCTCAGCAGGAGTGTTCTGGAAAACCCATGTGAGGGACAAACACTCAGACTACAGCAGGAGTGTTCTGGAATCCCCTGTGAGGGACAAACATTCAGACTGTCGTAGGGGTGTTCTGCAATCCTATGTGACGAACAAACATATAGAATCCAGCAGCATTGTTCTGGAATCCTATGTAGGAGACAAACATTCAGACAATAGTAGCAGTGTTCTGGAATCCTATGTGAGGGGCAAACATTCAGACCACAGCAGCAGTGTTCTGGAATCCTATGTGAGGGACAAACATTCAAACAACAGCGAGAGTGTTCTGGAATCCTAAGTTATGGACAAACACTCAGACCCTCGTGGCAGTGTTCTGGAATTCTATGTGATGGAGAAACACTCAGAATCCAGCAGCAGTGTTCTGGAATCCTATATGACGGAGATACACGTACACCCCAGCAGCAGTGTCCTGGAATCCTATGTGAGAGACAAACTTTCAGACCCCAGGAGCAGAGTTCTGGAATCCTACATGAGGGATAAACATTCAGACCCTCTTAGCAGTTTTCTTAATCACTATGTCAGGGACAAAGATTCAGACCTCAGCACCATTGTTCTGGAATCCTACATGAGGCTCAAACATTCAGACCCTCGTTGCAGTCTTCTGGAATCCTGTGTAAGAGACAATCATTCAGACAACAGCAGGAGTCTTCTGGAATTCCCTGTGAGAAATAAACACTCAGATCCTCCTAGCAGTGTTCTGGAAACCTATATGACGGACAAACATTTAGACAACTGAAGCAGTGTTATGGAATCACATATGAGAGACAGACATTCAGAAACTTGTACCAGAGTTCTGGAATCCTTTGAGAGGGACAAACATTCAGAACCCAGCAGAAATGTTCCGGAATCCTATGTGAGGGACAAGCATTCAGACACTGGTAGCAGTGTTCTGGAATCCTAAGTGAGAGACAAACACTCCGAACCCAGCAGCATTGTTCTGGAACCCTATGTGAGGGAAAAACATTCATACCACAGAAAGATTGCCTTCGAATCCTATGAGAGGGACAAACACTCAGAACACAGCAGGAGTGTGTTGGAATCCTATGTGAAGGAAAAACATTGAGACCCTCGTAGCAGTGTTCTGGAATCCTATGTGAGGGACAAACATTCAGATCCTCGAAGCAGTGTTCTGGAATCTAATGTGAGGGATAAACATTCAAATAACAGCGGGAGTGTTCTGAAATCCTGTGTTACGGACAAATATTCAGACCATCGTGGCAGTGTTCTGGAATTCTATGTGAGGTAGAAACATTCAGAACACAGCAGCAGTGTTCTGGAAACCTATGCGACGGACATACATGCAGACCCCTGCAGGGGGGTTCTGGAATCCTATGTGAGGGACAAACATTCAGAAGCCTGCAGCAGTGTTATGGAATCTTATGTGAGGGACAATCATTCAGACTCTCGTAGCAGTGTTCTGGAATTCTGTGTGAGGGTAAAACATTCAGAACCTCATAGCAATTTTCTGAAATCCTATGTGAGGGACAAACATTCAGAACACAGCAGGAGTGTTCTCAAATCCTCTGTGAGGGAAAATCATTCCGACCCTCATAGCAGTGTTCTGGAATCCTGTGTGAGGGACAAACATTCAGACCCCAACAACAGTGTTCTGTAATCCTATGTGTTGGACAATCATTCAGAACCCCATAGCAGTGCTCTGGAATTCTGTGTGAGGGACAAATATTCAAGCTGTCATTGCAGTGTTCTGGAATCCCGTGTGAGGGACAAACATTCAGACACTGGTAGCAGTGTTCTGGAATCCAACGTGAGGGACAAACATTCAGACAACAGCAGGATTGTTCTGGAATCCTATGTGAGGGACAAGCATTCAGACAATCGTAGCAGTGTTCTGGAATCCCATGTGAGGGACAAACATTCAGACCTTCATAGCAGTGTTCTGGAATGGTATGTGATGGACAAACATTCAGACAATCATAGCATTGTTCTGGAATCCTATGTGAGGGACAAGCATTCAGACAATCGTAGCAGTGTTCTGTAATCCCCTGTGAGGAACAAACGTTCAGACAGTCGTAGCATTGTTCTGGAATATTATGTGAGGGACAAACATTCAGACAATTGTAGCAGTGTTCCGGAATCCTATGTGAGGGACAAACATTCAAACAACAGCGGGATTGTTCAGGAATCCTATGTTATGGACAAACATTCTGACCCTCGTAGCGGTGTTCTGGAATTCTATGTGAGGGAGAAACACTCAGAACCCAACATCAGTGTTCTGGAATCCTATGCGACGGACATACCTGTAGACCCCAGCAGCTCTATTCTAGAATCCTATGTGAGAGACAAACATTACGACCCCAGCAACAGTGTTCTGGAATCCTATGTGAAGGAAAGTCATTCAGACACTCGTACCAGTGTTCTGGAATTCTGTGTGAGGGACAAACATTCTGATGCCCGTAGCAGTGTTCTGTAGTCCTGTGTGAGGGAAAAACATTGAGACCACAGCAGGAGTGTTCCAGAATCCCCTGTGAGGAACAGACATTCAGACCCTCATAGGAGGGTTCTGGAATCCGGTGTGACGGACAAAAATCTAGACCCCAGCAGCAGTGTTCTGGAATCCTATGTGAGGGACAAACACTCAGAACCCTGCAGCAGTGTTCTGAAACCCTATGTGAGAGATAAATATTCCGACGACAGGAGGATAGTTTTGGAATCCTATGTGAGGGACAAACACTCAGAAAACAGCAGGAGTGTTCTGGAATCCTAAATGAGGGACAAACACTCAGAAAACAGCAGGAGTGTTCTGGAATCCTAAATGAGGGACAATCTTTCAGATCGTCATAGCAGTGTTCTACAATTTTGTGTGAGGGACAAACATTCACACCCCAGCAGAAGTGTTGTGGAATCCTAAATGAGGGACAAACATTCAAACCCTCATAGGAGTGCTCTGGAATAGTGTGTGACGGAGAAACTTTTAGACTCCAGCAGCAGTGTTCTGCAATCCTTTGTAAGGGAAAAACAATCAGACCCTCACAGCTGTGTTCTGGAATCCCATGTGATGGACAAACACTCAGAACCGAGCAGCAGTGTTCTGTAACTATATGTGAGGGGCAACCATTCAGAACACAGCAGGATTGTTCTGGAATCCTACATGAGGGACTGACACTCAGAGCACAGCAGGCGTGTTTTGGAATCCTATGTGAGGGACAAACATTCTGACACTCATAGCAGGGTTCTGGAATCCTACGTGAGTGACAAACATTCAGACAATCTTAGCAGTGTTCTGGAATACTATGTGAGGGACAAACATTCAGACACTCGTAACAGTGTTTTGGAATACTATGTTGCAGACAATCATTCGTATGCTCGTAGCAGTGTTCTGGAATCCTGTGTGAAGGACAAACATTCAGACCACAGCAGGATTGTTCTGGAATCCCCAGTGAGGAACAAACGTTCAGACCTTCATAGCAGTGTTCTGGAATTCTATGTGACGGACAAACATTTAGACCCCAGCAGCGGTGTTCTGAAATCCTATGTTAGTGACAAACATTCAGACCCTTGTAGGAATGTTCTGGAATCTATGTGAGGGACTTGCTTTAAGACCACAGCAGGAGTGTTCTGGAATCTCATGTGAGGTACAAGCATTTCCACTCTCATAGCTGTGTTCTGGAATCCTATGTGATGAACAAACATTTAGACCCCAGCAGCAGTGTTCTGGAATCCTACGTGAGGGAAAAACATACAGACCATCATAGCAGTGTATTGGAATCCTGTGGGAGGGACAAACATTCAGACAATCGAAGCAGTGTTCTGGAATCCTAAGAGAGAGACAAATATTCAGAACACAGAAGGATTGTTCTGGAATCCTATGTGAGGAGCAAACACTCAGAACACAGCAGGAGTGTTGTGGAATCCTATGTGAGGGACAAACTTTGAGACCCTCGTAGTAGTGTCCTGGAATCCTATGTGAGGGACAAACATGCAGACAATTGTAGCAGTGTTCTGGAATCCTATGTGATCGACAAACCTTCGAACAACAGTGGAAGTGTTCTGGAATCCTATGTTATGGACACACATTCAGAACCTTGTGGCAGTGTTCTGGAATTCTATTTGAGAGAGAAACATTCAGAGCCCAGCAGCAGTTTTCTGGAATCCTATGTGATGAACATACATGCAGACCACAGCAGCAGTGTTCTGGAATCTTATGTGAGGGACAAACATTCAGACAATTGTAGCAGTGTTCTGGAGTCCTCCGTGAAGGACAAACATTCGGAACCCAGCAGCAGTGTTCTGGAATCCAATGTGAGGGACAAACATATAAATCACGGGGGGGAGTTTTCTGGAATCCTATGTTACGGACAAACATTCAGAACCTCGTCGCAGTGTTCTGGAATTCTATGTCAGGGAGAAACAGCCAGAACACAGTAGCAGGGTTTTGGAATCCTATGTGACGGACACACATATAGACCCCAGCAGCAGTGTTCTGGGATCCTATGTGAGAGACAAACATTCAGCACCTCGTCACAGTGTTCTCGAATCCTATGTGAGGGACAATCATTCAGATCCTCGTAGCAGTGTTCTGGAATTCTGTATGAGATACAATCATTCAGACCCTCGTAGCAGTGTTCTGGAATCCTAAGTGTGGGACAAATATTCAGACAATAGTAGTAGTGTCCTGGAAATCTATGTGAGGGACACACATTCAGACCCTCTTAGGAGTGTTCTGGAATCTTATATGAGAGACAAACATTCAGACAATCGTAGCAGTGTTCTGGAATCCTCGGTGAGGGACAAACATTCGGAACCCAGCAGCAGTGTTCTGGAATCCAATGTTATGGACAAACATTCAGAGACTCCTCGCGGTGATCTGGAATTCTATGTGATGGAGAAACACTGAGAAACCAGCAGTATTGTTCTGGAATCTGATGTGACGGACATACATTTAGACCAGAGCAGTAGAGTTGTGGAATCCTATATTGGGGCAAACATTCAGTCCCCAGCAGCATTGTCCTGCAATCCTTTGTGAGGGACAAACATTCAGAACCCAGCAGCAGTGTTCTGGAATCCTATGTGAGGCACCATCATTCAGACCCTCGAAGCAGTGTTCTGGAATTTTGTGTGAGGGGCAAACATTCAGACCCTCGTAGCAGTGTTCTGCAATCCTGTGTGAGGTACTATTATTCAGATGATGGCAGGAGAGTTCTGGAATCCCCTGTGAGGAACAAACATTCAGACCCTCCTAGCAGTGTTCTGTAACCCTATTTGAGGGACAGATATTCAGACGACAGCAGGGTTGTTCTGGAACCCTATGTGGGGGACAATCACCCAGAACACATCAGTAGTGTTTTGGAATCCTATCTGAGGGACAAACATTCAGACCCTAGTAGCACTGTTCAGGAATCCTATGTGAGGGACAAACATTCAGACAATCGTAGCATTGTTCTGGAGTCTTATGTGAGGGACAAACATTCAGACCCCAGCAGCATTGTTCTGGAATCCTATGTGGGGTTCAAACATTCAAACAACAGCGGGATTGTTCTGGAATCCTATGTTACGGACAAACATTCAGACCATCGTAGCAGTGTTCTGGTATTCTATGTGAGGGAAAAACACTGAGAATACAGCAGCAGTGTTCTGGAATCCGATGTGTGGGACAAACATTCAGACCCCAGCAGCAGTGTTCTTTAATCCTATTTGAGGGACAATCATTCAGACTCTCATAGCTGTGTTCTGGAGTTCTGCATAAGGGACAATCGTTCAGACCCACGTAGCAGTGTTCCGGAATTCTGTGTGATGGAGAAACCTTAATTACTTCATAGCAGTGTTATGGAAGCCTATCTGTGGGACAAACATTCAGACCACAGCAGGAGTGTTCTGGAACACTAAGTGTTCTCAAATCCTATGTGAGGAACAAACATTCAGACCCTCGCAGCAATGTTCTGGAATCCTATGTGACGGACAAACATTTGGACTGCAGCAGCAATGTTCTGGAATCCTATGTGAGGGACAAACTTTCAGAAAATCGTTGCAGTGGTCTGGTATCCTAGGTGAGGGACAAACATTCAGAACCCAGCAGCAGTGTTCTGGAATCCAATGTGAGGGACAAACATTCAAACAACAGAGGGAGTGTTTTGCAATCCTAGGTAAAGGACAAATATTTAGACAACAGGAGCAGTGTTCTGGAATCCTGTGGGAAGGACAAACATTAGGACCCTCAGTATAGTGTTCTAGAATCTTATGTGAGAGAAAAACATTGAGACAATCATAGCAGTGTTCTAGAATCCTTTGTGACGGACAAATATTTAGACCCCAGCAGCATTGTTCTGGAATCCTATGTGAGGGACGAACATTAAAATCACAGCGGGAATGTTCTGGAATCCTTTGTTACGGGCAAACATTCAGATCCTCGTCGCAGTCTTCTTGAATTACATGTGAGGGAGAAACACTCAGAACCCACCAGCAGTGTTCTGGAATCCTTAGCGACAGACATACATGCAGACATCAGTAGCAGTGCTCTGGGATCCTATGTGAGGGACAAACTTTCAGACGGCAGCAGCAGTGTTCTGGAATCCTGTGTGAGGGACAATCACTCAGACCCTCGTAGCTGTGTTCTGGAATTCCGTGTGATGGACAAACATTCAGACCCTCATAGCAGTGTTCTGGAAACCTATGTGAGGGACAAACATTCAGACCACAGCAGGCATGTTCTGGAATCCTCTGTGAGGAAGAAACATTCAGACCCTCGTAGCAGTGTTCTGGAATCCTATATGACAGACAAACATTTAGACCCCAGCAGCAGTGTTCTGGAATCCTGTGTGAGGGACAAACATTCACACCCTCGGAGCAGTGTTCTAGAATCCTATAAAGGGACAAACACTCAGAACCCAGCAGCCGTGTTCTGGAACCATATGTGAGGGACAAACACTGAGAACACAGCAGGATTGTTTTGGAATGCTATGTGATGGAGAAACATTCAGGCACTCGTAGCAGTGTTCTGGAATCCTAAGTGAGGGACAAACATTCAGACAATCGTAGCAGTGTTCTGGAATCCTATGCTAGGGAAAAACATTCAGACCCCAGTAGCAGTGTTCTGGAATCCTATGTGAGGGAAAAACATTCAAACAACAGCGGGAGTGTTCTGAAATAGTATGTTACTGACAAACATTCAGACCCTTGTCACAGTGCTCTGGAATTCAAGTGAGGGGGAAACACACAGAACCCAGCAGCTGTGTTCTGGAATCCTGTGTGACGGACGTACACATAGACCCCAGCAGCGGTGTTCCGGAATCCTATGTGACGGACAAACATTCAGACTCCAGCAGCAGTGTTCTGGAATCCTCTGTGAGGGACCATCATTCAGACTCTCGTAGTAGTGTTCTGGAATTCTGCGTGAGGGGCAAACATTCAGACCATCGTGGCAGTGTACTGGAATCCTGTGTGAGGGATAGTCATTCCGAACACAGCAGGAGTATTCTGGAATCCCCTGTATGGAAAAAACATTCAGACCCTAGCAGCAGTGTTCTGGAATCCTATGTGAGGGACAAACATTTAGACCCCAGCAAAAGTGTTCTGGAATCCTGTGTGAGGGACAAACATTCAGACTTTCGTAGCAGAGTTCTGGAATCCTATCTGAGGGGCAAACACTCAGAAACCAGCACCAGTGTTCTGGAACCCGATGTGAGGGACAAACATTCAGACCACAGCAGGATTGCTTTGGGATCCCATGTGTGGGAAAAACAGAAAACAGCGGGAGAGTATTGGAATCCTATGTGAGGGACAAAACATTCAGACCCTCTTTGCAGTGCTGCGGAATCCTATGTGAGGGACAAACTTTCAGAAAATCACAGCAGTGGTCTGGAATCTTATGTGAGAGACAAACATTCAGAACTCAGCACCAATGTTCTGGAATCTTATGTGAGAGACAAACATTCAGAACTCAGCACCAATGTTCTGGAATCCTATGTGAGAGACAAACATTCATACAACAGCGAGAGTGTTCTGCAATCCTAGGTAATGGACAAACATTTAGAAACCAGCAGCAGTGTTGTGGAATCCTATGAGAGGCACAAACATTCAGACCTTAGTAGAGTTATTCTGGAATCCCATGTGAGGGACAAACATTCAGAACCTCGTCGCAGTTTTCTGGAATTCTGTGTGAGGCAGAAACACTCTGAACCCAGAAGCAGTGTTCTGGAATCCTCTATGACAGACACACATGTAGACCTCAGCAGCTGTGTTCGGGAATCCTATGTGAGGGACAAGCATTCAGACCGCAACAGCATTATTGTGGAATCCCAAGTCAGGGACAATCATTCAGACCCTCGTAAGAGTGTTCTGGAATTTTGTGTGAGAGACAAACATTCAGACACTCATAGCAGTGTTCTGGAAAGCTATGTGAGGGAGAAACATTCAGACAACAGTAGGCGTGTTCTGGAATCCCCTGTGAGGAAAAACATTCATACCCTCGTAGCAGTGTTCTGGAATCCTATGTGATGGACAAACAT
The DNA here is from genome assembly GCF_000001405.40 of Homo sapiens. Taxonomy (NCBI): domain Eukaryota; kingdom Metazoa; phylum Chordata; class Mammalia; order Primates; family Hominidae; genus Homo; species Homo sapiens. Next base: position 40,719 of record NW_021160023.1, read on the forward strand.
TTAGACCCCATCAGCAGTGTTCTGGAATCCCGTGTGAGCAAAAAACATTCAGACGCTAGAAGCAGTGTTCCGGAGTCCTATGTAGGAACAAACACTCAGAACCCAGCAGCACTGTTCTGGAACGCTATGTGAGGGACAAAGATTCAGACCACAGCAGGATTATACTGGAGTCCTATGTGAGGGACAAACACTCAGAACAGAGCAGGAGTGTTTTGGAATCCTATGTGTCAGACAAACATTCAGACACTCATAGCAGTGTTCTGGAATCCAATGCAAGAGACAAACTTTCAGACCACAGCAGCAGTGTTGTGGAATCCTCTGTGAGGAACAAACTTTCAGAATATCGTAGCAGTGTTCTGGAATCCTATGTGAGGGACAAACATTGAGATCCCAGCAGCAGTGTGCTGGAATCCTATGTGAAGGACAAACATTCAAACAACAGCGAGAGTGTTCTGGAATCCTAACAAGTAGACAAACATTTAGACACCAGCAGCAGTGTTCTGGAATCCTATGTGAGGAAAAACATATTCAGACCCTCGTAGGGTTATTCTGGAATCCTATATGAGGAACATATATTCAGACCCTCATAGGATTATTCTGGAATCCTATGTGATTCAGACACCAGGAGCAGTGTTCTGGAATCCTATGTGTGAGACAAACATTCAAACAACAGTGTGAGTGTTCACGAATCCTATGTGACGGACAAACATTCAGACCTTCCTCGCAGTGTTTGGAATTCTATGTGAGGGAGAAACACTCAGAACCCAGCAGGAGTGCTCTGGAATCCTATCTGACGGACATACATGTAGACCCCAGCAGCAGTGTCCTCGAATCTCATGTGAGGGAGAAACATTCAGACCCCAGGAGCAGTGTTCTGGAATCCTATGTGAGGACAATGATTCAGGACCTCGTAGCAGTGTTCTGGTATTCTGTGTGAGGTACAAACTTTCAGACTCTCTTACCACTGTTCTGCAATCATGTGTGAGAGAAAAACATTCAGACCCACAGCAGGAGTGTTCTGGAATCACCTGTGAGGAACAAACATTCAGATCCTCCTAGCACTGTTCTGGAATCCTGTGTGACGGACAAACATTTAGACGCCAGCAGCAGTGTTCTGGAATCCTAATTGCGGGACAATCATTCAGACCCTTGTAGCAGTGTTATGGAATCCTTTGTGAGGGACAGACATTTAGAACCCAGCGACAGCATTCTGGAACACTATGTGAGTGAGAAACATTCAGACCACAGCAGGATTGCTCTGGAATCCTACGTGAGGGACTAATATTCAGACCTTCGTAGCAGTGTTCTGGAATCCTAAGTGAGGGACAAACATTCAGACAACCGTAGCAGTGTTCCGGAATCCTATGTGAGGGACATTCATTCAGACGTTCGTAGCTGCGTTGTGGAATTCTGTGTAAGAGCCATATATTGAGATCCTCAAAGCCGTGTTCTGGAATCCTACGTGAGGGACAAACATTCAGACCACAGGAGGATTGTTCTGGAATCCTCTGTGAGGAAAAAACATTCAGACCCTCGTAGCAGTGTTCTGGAATCCTATGTGAGGGACGAACCTTTAGACCCCAGCAGCAGTGCTCTTGAATCCTACGTGAGGAAAAAACATTCAGACACTCGTAGCTTTGTTCTCGAATCACATGTGAGGGACAAACATTCAGATAATCTTAGCCATGTTCTGGAATCCTATGTGAGGGACAAATATTCAGACCCCAGCAGCGTTCTGGAATCCTATGTGAGGAACAAACATTCAAACAACAGCGGGAGTGTTGTCGAATCCTATGTAACAGACAGACTTTCAGAACCTCGTCGCAGTGTTCTGGAATTTTGTGTTAGAGAGAAACACTCAGAAACCAACAGGAGTGTTCTGGAATCCTATGTGATGGACATACATGTAGACGCCAGCAGCAGTGTTCTTGAATCATATGTGAAGACAAACATTCAGATCTCAAAAGCAGTGTTCTGGAATCCTCTGTGAGGGTCAATCATTCAGACCCTTGTAGCAGTGTTCTGGAGATGTTTGTGAGGGAGGAAGCTTCAGACCCCCATAGCAGCGTTCTGGAAGCCTATATGAAGGACAAACATTCGGACTAGAGCAGGATTGTTCTGGAATCCAATGGGAGGAACAAATATCCGGACCCTCGTAGCATAGTTCTGGAATCCTATGTGACGGACCAACATTTAGAGCCCAGCAGCAGTGCTCTGGAACCTCAAGTGAGGGACAAACATTCAGACACTCAGTGCAGTGTTCTATAATCCTATATGAGGGACAAACATTGAAACAATCGTAGTAGTGTTCAGGAACCTATGTGACGGACAAACATACAGACCCCAGCAGCAGTGTTTTCGAATCCTATGTGGGGGACAAACATTCAAACAACAGCAAGAGTGTTCTGGAATCCTCTGTTACAGAGAAACATTCAGATCCTCGTCGCAGTGTTCTGGAATTCTAACTGAGGGAGAAACACTCTGAACCCAGCAGCAGTGTTCTGGAACCTTATGTGACAGACATACATGTAGACCCCAGCAGCAGTGTTCTGGAATCCTATGTGAGGGACAAATATTCAGACAGCAGCCGTAGTATTCTGGAATCCTATGTGAAGGATAGTCATTCAGACCCTCATAGCAGTGTTCTGGAATTCTCTGTGTGGGACAAACATTCAGACCCTCATAGCAGTGTTCTGGAATCCCCGGTGAGGAACAAACATTCAGAGCCTCATATCAGTGTTCTGGAATCCTATGTGACGGACAAACATTAAGTCCCCAGAAGCAGTTTTCTGGAATACTGTGTGAGGAACAAACATTCAGACCCTGGTAGTAGTGTTCTGGAATCCTATGTGAGAGACAAACACTCAGAACCCAACAGCAGTGTTTTGGAACCCTATGTGAGGGTCAATCATTCAGGCCACAGCAGGATTATGCTGGAGTCCTATGTGAGGGACACTCAGAACATAGCAGGAGTGTTTTGGAATCCTATGTGAGGGAAAAACTTTCAGACACTCGTAGCAGTGTTCTGGAATCCTATGTGGGAGACAAACATTCATACAATCTTAGCAGTGTACGGGAATTCTTTGCGAGGGACAAACATTCAGACCCCAGCAGCAGTGTTCCAGAATCCTATGTGAGCTATAAACATTGATACAACAGTGGGAGTGTTCTGGAATCCTATGTTATGGACAAACATTCAGACCCTCGTCACAGTGTTCTGGAATTCTATGTGAGGGAGAAACACTCAGAACCCAGCAACAGTGTACTGGAATCCTATGTGACGGACATACATGTAGACCCGAGCAGCAGTGTTCTGGAATACTATGTGAGGGACAAACATTCATAACACGGCAGGAGTGCCCTGGAATCCTATGTGAGGGAAAACATTCAGACAATCGTAGCAGTGTTTTGGAATCTTATGTGAGGGACTAACTTTCAGACCCCATCAGCAGTGTTCTGGAATCCTATATGAGGGACAAACATTCAAACTACAGAGGCTGTGTTCTGGAATCCTAAGTTATGGACAAAAATTCAGATCCTCTCCGCAGTGCTCTGGAATTCTATTTGAGGGAGAAACAATCAGAACCCAGCAGCAGTGTTCTCGAATCCTACATGAGGGACATACATTCAGACCACAGCAGCAGTGTTCTAGAACCCTATGTGAGGGACAAGCATTCAGACCGTCGTAGCAGTGTTCTCGAATTCTGTGTGAAGGACAAAGATTCAGACCATCAGAGCAGTGTTCTGGAATCCTTTGTGAGGGACAAACATTCAGACCACAGCAAGAGTCTTCTGGAATCCACTGTGAGGAACAAACATTCAGAACCTCATAGCAGTGTTCTGGAATCCTATGTGATGGACAAACATTTAGACCTCAGAAGCAGTGTTCTGTAATCCTGTGAGAGACAAACATTCAGACACTCGTTGCAGTGTACAGGAATCCTGTGTGAGGGAAAAGAACTCAGAACCCAGCAACAGTGTCCTGGAACCCTATGTGAGGGACAAACATTCAGGCCACAGCAGGATTGTTCTGGAATCCTACGTGAGGGACAAACACTCAAACACAGCGGGAGTGTTTTGGAATCCAATATGAGGGAGAAACATTCAGACCCTCATAGCAGTGTTCTGGAATCCTATGTGAGGGACAAACATTCAGAAAATCGTAGCCATGTTCTGGAATCTCAAGAAAGGGAAATAAATTCAGACCCCAGCAGCAGTGTTTTGTAATCCTATGTGAGGGAGAAACATTGAACCAAGATCGGGAGTGTTCTGCAATCCCTGGTTATGGACAAATATTCAGAACCTCGTCTCAGTGCTCTGGAATTCTATGTGAGGTAGAAACAGTGAGAACCCAGCAGCAGTATTCTGGAATCCTATGTGAGGGAAAATCATTCAGACCCCAGCAGGAGTGTTCTGGAATCCTATGGGAGGGACAATCATTCAGACAATCGTAGCAGTGTTCTGGAATCCTATGTGAGGGGCAAACATACAGACACTTGTAGCAGTGTTCTGGAATCCTATGTAAGTGACAAATATTCAGACCCTTGTAGCATTTTTCTGGAATCCTATGTGAGGGACAAACATTGAGACAATCGTAGCTGTGTTCTCGAATCCTATGTGAGGGAGAAACATTCAGACTACAACAGCAGTGTTCTGGAATCGTATGTGAGGGACAAACATTCCAACAACAGAGTGAGTGTTCTGGAATCCTAAGTTACGGACATACATTCAGAAATTCGTCTCAGTGATCTGGAATTCTATGTGAGGGTGAAACACTCAGAAACCGGCAACAATGTTCTTAAATCCTATGTGACAGACATACATGTAGACGGTAACAGCAGTGTCCTGTAATTCTGTGTGATGGAAAAACATTCAGACACTCATAGCAGTGTTCTGGAATCCTATTTGAGGGACAAACATTCAGACCACAGCTGGAGTGTTCTGCAATCCCCTGTGAGTAACAAATATTCAGATCCTAGTAGCAGTGTTCTGGAATCCTATGAGGGACAAACATTCGGATCCTCTTAGCAGTGATCTGGAATCCTATGTGAGGGTAAATCATTCAGAACCTAGTTGCGGTGTTCTGGAATCCTATATGAGGGACAAACATTCGGATCCTCTTAGCAGTGATCTGGAATCCTATGTGAGGGTAAATCATTCAGAACCTAGTTGCGGTGTTCTGGAATCCTATATGAGGGACAAACATTCGGATCCTCTTAGCAGTGTTCTGGAATCCTATGTAACGGACAAACATTAAGACCCCAACTGCAACTGCAGTGTTCTGGAATCCCATGTGAGGGACAAGCATTCAGACCCTTGTAGCAGTGTTCTGGATTCCTATGTGAGGGAGAAACACTCAAAACCCAGCAACAGTGTTCTGGAACCCTATGTGAGGGACAAACATTCACACCACAGCAGGATTGTTCTGGAATACTATGTGAGGGACAAACACTCAGAACATAGCAGGAGTGTTTTGGAATAGTATGTGAGGGACAAACATTCGGATCCTCTTAGCAGTGTTCTGGAATCCTATGTGACGGACATACATGTAGAACCCAGCAGCAGTGTTCTGAAGGCCTATGTGAGGGACAAACATTCAGACCCCAGGAACAGTCTTCGGGAATCGTATGTGAGGGTAAATCATTCAGAACGTCGTAGCAGTGTTCTGGAATTCTGTGTGAGGGACAAACATTCAGACCACAGCAGCAGTATTCTGGAATCCTATGTGAGGGAAAAACATTCAAACAACTGCAGGTGTGTTCTGGAATCCTATGTGAGGGAAAAACATTCAAACAACTGCAGGTGTGTTCTGGAATCCTATGACAAGGAAAAACATTCAGACCCTCCTCGCAGTGTTCTTGAATTCTATGTGAGGGAGAAACACTCCGATTCCTGTAGCAGTGTTCTGGAACCCTATGTGACAGACCTACTTGTAGACTCCAGCAGCAGTGTTCTGGAACCCTATGTGAGGGACAATCATTCCGACCCTCGTGGCAGTGTTCTGGAATTTTGTGTGAGGGATAAACATTCAGACCCCAGCGCGAGTGTTCTGGAATCCCACGTGAGTGACAAGCATTCAAAAAATCTTAGCAGTGTTCTGGAATCCTATATGAGAGACAAACTTTCAGACCCTCGTAGCAGTATTCTGGAATCCTATGTGGGGGCAAACATTCAATCATAGCAGTGTTCAGGAATCCTATGTGAGGGACAAACATTTAGACTGTCGTAGCAGTGTTCTGGAATCCTACGTGAGGGACAAGCATTGAGACAATCGTGGCAGTGTTCTGGGATCCTATGTGAGGGACAAACATTCAGACAATTGTAGCAGGGTTCTGGAATCCTATGTGAGGGACAAACATTCAAAAAACAGAGAGAGTGTTCTGGAACCCTATGTTACGGACAAACATTCAGACAATCGTAGCAGGGTTCTGGAATCCTATGTGAGGGACAAACATTCAAAAAACAGAGAGATTGTTCTGGAACCCTATGTTACAGACAAACATTGAGACCATCGTTGCAGTGTTCTGGAATTCCCTGTGAGGGACAAAAACTCGGAACCCAGCGGCAGTGTTCTGGAATTCCCTGTGAGGGACAAAAACTCGGAACCCAGCGGCAGTGTTCTGGAATCCTATGTGAGGGACAAACATTCAGACTCCAGCAGCAGTGTTCTGGAATCCCATGTGAGGGACAATCATTCAGACCATCATAGCCGTGTTTTGGAATTCTGTGTGAGGGGCAAACATTCAGACCGTCGTAACAGTGTTCTGCAATCCTGTGTGAGGGAAAAACATTCCGACCACAGCAAGAGTGTTCTGGAATCCCCTGTGAGGAACAAACATTCCGACCCTCATAGCAGTGTACTGGAATCTTATCTGATGGACAAATATTTAGAACCCAGCAGCAGTGTTCTGGAATCCTATGTGAGTGACAAACACTCAAAACATAGCAGGAGTGTTTTAGAATACTATGTGAGGGATAAACAATCTGACCTTCACAACAGTGTTCTGGAATCCTGAGTGAGGGATAAACATTCAGACCCTGATAGCAGTGTTCTGGAATCCTATGTGAGGGACAAACATTCAGACCACAGCAGGACTGTTTTGGAATTCCCTTTGAGAAACAAACTTTTAGACCCTCATAGCTGTGTTCTGCAATCCTGTGTGTGGGACAAAATTTCAAAACCTCGTAGCAGTGTTCTGGAATCCTATGTGAGGTACAAACATTCAGACAATCGTAGCAGTGTTCTGGAATCCCATGTGAGGGACAAACATGCAGACCCTCGTAAGAGTGTTCTGGAATCCTATGTGAGAGACAAACATTCAGACAATCGTAGCAGTGTTCTGGAATCCAATGTTAGTGACAAAGTTTCAGACCCCAGCAGCAGTGTTCTGGAATCCTATTTGAGGGACAACCATTCAGACACTTTCAGCAGTGTTCCAGAATCCTGTGTCAGGGACAAACATTTTGACCACTGCAGGACTCTTCTGGAATCCCTTGTGGGGAACAAACATTCAGACCCTCGTAGGTGTGTTCTGTAATCCTATGTGACTGACACACATTTAGACCACAGCAGCAGTGTTCTGGAATCCCATGTGAGGGACAAACATTCAGACACTCGTAGCAATGTTCTGGAGTCCTGTGTGAGGGACAAAAATTCAGGCCACAACAAGAGTGTATTGGAATCCCCTGTGAGGAACAAACATTTTGAACCTCCTAGCAGTGTCTGGAATATTATCTGACGGACAAACATTTAGACCCCAGCAGCAGTATTATAGAATCTCATGTGAGGGACAATATTTCAGAACGTCATAGCAGTGTTCTGGAATATTATATGAGTGAAAAATATTCAAACATCCTCGGGAGTGTTCTGGAATCTTATGTCACGGACAAGCATTCAGACCCTCGTCGCAGTGTTCTGGAATTCTATGTGAGGGAGAAACACTCAGAACCCAGCAGCAGTGTTCTGGAATCCTATGTGAAGGACATACATGTAGACCATAGCAGCAGTGCTCTGGAATCCTTTGTGACAGACAAACATTCAGACCCCAGCAGCAGTGTTCTGGAATCCTGTGTGAGGGACAAACATTCAGACCCCAGCTGCAGTGTTCTGGTATCCTATGTGATGGACAGTCATAAAGACCCTCGTAGCAGTGTTCTGGAATTCTTTGTGAGGGACAAACATTCAGACATTCATAGCAGTGATGTGGAATCCCATGTGAGTGACAAACATTCAGACCACAGCAGAAGTGTTCTGGAATCCCCTGTGAGGAACAAACATTCAGACTCTCGTAGTAGTGTTCTGGAATCCTATTTGAAGGACAAACATTTAGGCCCCAGCAGCAGGGTCCTTGAATCCTATGTGAGGGACAAATATTCAGACCCTGGTAGCACTGTTCTGGCTTTCTTTCTGAGGGACAAACATTCAGTCCACAGCAGGAGTGTTCTGGAATCCTAAGTGAGGGACAAACATTCACACCCTCGTAGCAGTGTTCTGGAATCCTATGTGAGGGACAAACATTCAAATAAATACTTGAGTGTTTTTGAATCCTATGTTACGGACAAACATTCAAACCCTCGTCGCAGTGTTCTGGAATTGTTTGTGAGTGAGAAACACTCAGAAACCAGCAGCAGTGTTCTGGAATCCTATGTTTCGGACATAAATGTAGACCCCAGCAGCAGTGTTCTGGAATCCTAAGTGAGGGACAAACATTCAGACCCTAGCAGCAGCATTCTGGAATCCTATTGAGGGACAAAAATTCTGACCCTCATCTCAGTGGTCTGGAATTCTAGGTGAGGAAGAAACTCAGACAATCGTAGCAGTGTTCTGGAATCCTATGTGAGGGGCAAACATTCAAACAACAGCGGGAGTGCTCTTGAATCATATGTTATGGACAAACACTCAGACCCTCGTAGCAGTGTTCTGGAATCCTATGAGAGGGACAAACATTCAGACCCTCCAGGTTTGTTCTGGAATCCTATGTGAGGGACAAATATTAAGAAAATCGTAACATTGTACTGGAATCCTGTGTGAGGGACAAACATTCAGTCCCCATTAGCAGTGTTCTGGATTCCTATGTGAGGGACAAACATTCCCACAACAGCGGGAGTGTTCTGTAATCCTATGTTACGGACAAACATTCAGACCCTCATCGCAGTGTTCTGGAATCCTATGTGAGGGAGAAACACTTAGAAACCAGCTGCAGTGTTCTGGAATCTTATGGGATGGACACACATGTAGACCCCAGCAGCATTGTTCTGGAATCCTGTGAGACGGACAAACATTCAGACCCCAGCAGCAGTGTTCTGGAATCCTAGAGTAGGGATAATCATTAAGATCCTGGCTGCAGTGTTCTGCAATTCTGTGTGAGGGACAAACATTCAGAGCCTCATAGGAGTGTTCTGGAATCCTATGTGATTGACAAACATTCAGACCACAGCAGGAGTGTTCTCAAATCCCCTGTGAGGAACAAATATTCAGACCCTCGTGGCAGTGTTCTGTAATCCTATGTGAGGGACCAACATTTAGACCACAGCAGCAGTGTTCTGGAATCCTATGTGAGGGACAAACATTCAAACAACAGCGGGAGTGTCCTTGAATCATATGTTACGGACAAACATTCAGACCCGCGTAGCAGTGTTCTGGAATCCTTTGAGAGGGACAAACATTCAAACAACTGCGGGAGTGTTCTGTAATCCTATGTTATGGACAAATATTAATATAATCGTAACATTGTTCTGGAATCCTGCGTGAGGGACAAACATTCAGTCCCCATTAGCAGTGTTCTGGATTCCTATGTGAGGGACAAACATTCAAACAACTGTGGGAGTGTTCTGTAATCCTATGTTATGGACAAATATCAGACCCTTGTCGCAGTGTTCTGGAATTCTATGTGAGGGAGAAACATTTAGAAACCAGCAGCACTGTTCTGGAATCCTATGGGATGGACACACATGTAGACCCCAGCAGCATTATTCTGGAATCCTATGAGACAGACAAACATTCAGACCCTAGCAACAGTGTTCTGGAATCCTAGAATAGGGATAATCATTCAGACCCTGGTAGCAGTATTCTGGAATTCTGTGTGAGGAACAAACATTCAGAGCCTCATAGCAGTGTTCTGGAATCCTATGTGATTGACAAACATTCAGACAACAGCAGGAGTGTTCTGGAATCATCTGTGAGGAACAAACATTCAGACAACAGCAGGAGTGTTCTGGAATCATCTGTGAGGAACAAACATTCAGACCCTCTTAGCAGTGTTCTGTAATCCTATGTGAAATCATCCTATGTGACAGACAAACATTTAGACCCCAGCAGCAGTGTTCTGGAATCCTATGTGAGGTAGAAACATTCAGACCCTCATAGCAGTGTTCTGGAATCCTACATGAGCGACAAACACACTGAAACCAGCAGCAGTGTTCTGGAACCCTATGTGAGGGATAAACATTCAGACCATGCCAGGATTGTTCTGGAAACCTATGTGAGGGACCAACACTCCGAACCCAGCAGAAAGGTTTTGAAATCCTGTGTGAGGGACAAACGTTTAGACTCTCGTAGCAGTGTTCTGGAATCATATGTGAGGGACAAATATACAGACCATAGCAGGAGTGTTCTGGAATCCTATGTGAGGGACAAACATTCAGACCCTCATAGCAGTGATCTGGAATTCTATGTGAGGGACAAACATTCAGACATTGGTAGCATTGTTCTGGAATCCAATGTGAGGGACAAACATTCTGACCCTCATAGCAGTGTACCAGAATCCTGTGTTAGGAACGAACATTCAGACCACAGCATTAGTGTTCTGGAATCCCCTGTGAGGAACAAACATACAGACCCTCGTAGTAGTGTTCTGGAATCCTATGTGACGGCCAAATATTTATACCCCAGGAGCAGTGTTCTGGAATCCTCAGTGAGGAAAACCATTCAGAATCTTGTAGCAGTTTTGTGGAATCCTATGTGAGGGACAAACATTCAGACCACAGCGGGATTGTTCTGGAATGATATGTGAGGGACAAACACTAAGAAAATAACAGGAATGTTTTGGAATCCTATGTGAGTGACAAAAATTCAGACCCTCGTAGTAGTGTTCTGGAATCGTATGTGAGGGACAAGCATTCAGACCACAGCAGGAGTGTTCTGGAATCCTATGGGAGGGACATACATTCAAACCCTAGTTAGCAGTGTTCTGGAATCCTATGTGAGGGAAAAGCATTCAGAGTTTTGTAGCAGTGTTCTGGAATCCTATGTGAGGGACAAACATTCAGACCCTCAAAGGAGTATTCTGGAATCCTATGTGAGGGACAAACATTGAGATAATCATAGCAGTGTGCTGGAATCCTATGTGAGGGACAAACATTCAGACCCCAGCAGCAGTGTTCTGGAATCCTATGTGAGTGATAAACATTCAAACAACAGCGGGAGTGTTCCATAATCCTATGTTACAGACAAATATTCACACCGTCTTCACAGTGTTCTTGAATCCTATGTGAGGGACAAACACTCAGAAATGAGCAGCAGTGTTCTGGAACCCTGTGTGAGGGTCAAAATTTCAGACCACAGCAGGATTGTTCTGTAATCCTATGTTACGGACAAACATTTAGACCTCAGCAGGAGTGTTCTGGAATTCTATGCGAGGCACAGTCATTCGTACCCTCGTAACAGTGTTCTGGAATTCTGTGTGAGGGACAAGCATTCAGAACGTCGTAGCAGTGTTCTGGAATCCTATGTGAAGGACAACCATTCAGACCACAGGAAGAGTGCTCTGGAATCCCCAGTGAGGAACAAACATTCAGACACTAGTAAAAGTGTTCTGGAATCCTATGTGACAGACAAACATTCAGACCCCAGCAGCAGTGTTCTGGAGTTTTATGTGAGGGAAAAACGTTCAGACAATCATAGCAGAATTCTGGAATCCTATGTGAGGGACAAACATTCAGACCTCAGCTGCTGCGTTCTGGAATCCTATGTGAGGGACAAACATTCATACAACAGTGGGAGTGTTCTGGAATCCTATGTTACAGGCAAATATTCAGACCCTCGTCCGAGTGTTCTGGAATTCTATGTGAGGGAGAAACATTCAGAACCCACCAGCATTGTTCTGGAATCCTATGTGACGGACAGACATGCAGACCCCAGCAGCATTGTTCTGGAATCCTATGTGACGGTCAGACATGTAGACCCCAGCAGCATTGTTCTGGACTCCTATGTGAGGGATGATCATTCAGACCCTCGTTGCAGTGTTTTGGAATTCTGTGTGAGTGAGAAACATTCAGACCCTTGTAGAAGTGTTCTGGAGCCCTGTGTGAGGGACAAACATTCAGACCACAGCAGGAGTGTTCTGGAATCCACCGTGAGGAACAAACATTCCGACCCTCGTAGCAGTGTTCTGGAATCCTAAGTGATGGATAAACATTTAGACCCAGTAGCAGTGTTCTGGAATCCCCAGTGAGGAACAAACATTCAGACAATCGTAGCAGTTTTCTGGTATTCTATGTGAGGGACAAACATTCAGACCCCAGCAGCAGTGTTCTGGAATCCTATGTGTGGGACATACATTCAGACCCTCGTAGGAATGTTCTGGAATCCTTTGTGAGGGACATGTATTAAGATAATCATAGCAGTGTTCCAGAATCCTATGTGAGGGACAAACATTCAGACCCCAGGAGCAGTGTTCTGGAATCCTATGTAAGGGAGAAACATTCAACCAACAGCGGGAGTGTTCTGAAATCCTATGTTAAGGACAAACATTCAGACCCTAGTTGCAGTGTTCTAGAATTCTATGTGAGGGAGAAACACTCAGAAACCTGCAGCAGTGTTCTGGAATCTAGGTGACGCCCATAAATCTACACCCCAGCAGCAGTGTGGTGGAATCCTATATGATGGACAAACATCCAGAACCCAGCAGCAGTGTTCTGGAATCCTATGTGAGGTACAAACATTCAGACCCCAGCAGCAGTGTTCTGGAATCCTATGAGAGGGACAATCATTCAGACCCTTGTAGCAGTATTGTGGAATTCTGTGTGAGGGATAAACATCCAGAAACTCATAGCAGTGTTCTGGAATGCTCTGTGAGGTACAAACATTCAGACCCTCGTAGCAGTGTTCTGGAATACTACGTGAGGGACAAACATTGAGACCTCATAGCAGTGTTCTGGAATCCTATGTGACAGACAAACATTTAGATGGCAGCAGCAGTGTTCTGGAATCCTATGTGAGGTACAAACATTCAGAACACTGCAGAAGTGTTCTGGAATCTCCTGTGAGGAAGAAACTTTTAGACCCTCATAAAAGTGGTCTGGATTCCGATGTGATGGACAAACATTTAGACCCCAGCAGCAGTGTTCTGGAATCCTATGTGAGAGACAAACATTCAGAACCTCGTAGCAGTGTTCTGGAATCCTATGTGAGGGACAAACCCTCAGAACTCAGCAACTGTATTCTGGAATCCTATGGAGAGACAAACATTGAGACCACAGCAAGATTGTTCTGAAATCCTATGTGGGGGACAAACACTTCGAACACTGCAGGAGTGTTTTGGAATCCTATGTGAGGGACAAACATTCAGAGCCTCGTAGCAGTGTTCTGGAATCCTATGTGAGGGAAAAACTATCAGACCACAGCAGGAGTGTTCAGGAATCCTATGTGAGGGACTAACATTTAGATAATCAAAGCCGTGTTCTGGAATCCTATGTGAGAGGCAAACATTCATACACTCATAGCAGTGTTCTGCAATCCTATGTGAGGGACAAATATTCAGATCATCCTAGCAGTGTTCTGGAATCCTATGTGAGGGACAAATATTCAGATCATCCTAGCAGTGTTCTGGAATACTATGTGAGGGACAAAAATGCAGACAGTCGTAGCAGTGTTCTGGAATCCTATGTGAGGGACAAAAATGCAGACAATCGTAGCAGTGTTCTGTAATCCTATGGGAGGGACAAAAATTCAGAGCCTCCCAGCAGTGTTCTGGAATCCTATGTGAGGGTCAGACATTCAGACAATCGTAGAGTGTTCTGGAATCCTATGGGAGGGATAAACATTCAAAAAACAGCGAGAGCGTCTGACATCCTACGTTTCGGACAAACATGCATACCCTCGTCGCAGTGTTCTGGAATTTATGTGAGGGAGAGACACACAGAACCCAGCAGCAGTGTTCTGGATTCCTATGTGACGGACATACATGTAGACCCCAGCAGCAGCGTTCTGGAATCCTATGTGAGGGAAAAACATTCAGGCACCAGCAGCAGAGTTCTGGAATCCTATATGAAGGACAATCATTCAGACCCTCGTAACAGTGTTCTGGAATTCTGTGTGAGGGACAAACATTCAGACCACAGCAGGACTATTCTGGAATCCCCAGTGAGGAAGAAACATTCAGACCCTCGTAGCACTGTTCTTGAATCCTGTGTGATGGACAAACATTTAGACCCCAGCAGCGGTGTTCTGGAATCCTATGTGTGGGACCGTCATTCAGAACCTCGTAGCGTGTTCTGGAATCTGGTGTGATGCAGAAACATTCAGATCACAACAGTAGTGTTCTGGATCTGATGTGTCTACAAACACTCAGAACACAGCAGGAGTGTTTTGGAATCCTATATGAGGGAAAAACATTCAGACCCTCGTAGCAGTGTTCTGGAATCCTATCTAAGGGACAAACATTCAGACAATCATAGGAGTGTTCTGGAATCCGATGTGAGGGACAAACATTCAGACTCTTGTATCAGTGTTCTGAAATCCTACGTGAAAGACAAACATTCAAACAATCGCAGCAGTGTTCTGGAATCCTATGTGAGGGACAAATATTCAGACCCTCGTAGCAGTGTACTGGAATCCTATGTGAGGGACAAACTTTCAGACCAGAGCAGCAGTGTCCTTGAATCCTGTGTGAGGGACAAATATTGAGATCCCAGCAGGAGTGTTCTGGAATCTTTTGTTAATGAGAAACATTCAGACTACAGCAGGAGTGTTCTGGAATCCTATGGGAGCAACAAACATTCAGACCCCAGCACCAGTGTTCTTTTGTCCTATGTGAGAAACAAAAATTCAGATGCTCGCAGCAGTGTTCTGAAATCCTATGTGAGGGAAAAACATTCAGAACCTCGTAGCAGTGTTTTGGAATCCTATGGGAGGACAAAAAATCAGACACTCCTACTAGTGCTCTGGAAACCTATGTGAGGGACAAACATTCAGACCACAGCAGGAGTGTTCTGGAATCGCCTGTGAGGGAGAAACATTCAGACCCTCATAGCTGTGTTCTGGAATCCAATGTGACGGACAAAGATTTAGACCCCAGCAGCAGTGTTCTGGAATCCTATGTGATGGACAGACATTCAGACAATCGTAGCAGTGTTCTGGAATCCTATGTGAGGGACAAACATTCAGAACCCAGCAGCAGTGTTCTGGAATCCTATGTGAGGAACAAACATTCAAACAAACAACAGCGGGAGTGTTCGGGAATCTTATGTTACGGACAAACATTCAGACCATCATTGCAGTTTTCCGGAATTCTATGTGACGGAGAAAGACTCAGAACTCCGCAGCAGTGTTCTGGTATTCTATGCGATGGACATACATGCAGACCTCAGCAGCAGTGTTCTGGACTCGTATGTGAGGGACAAACATTCAGACCCCAGCAGCAGTCTTCTGAAATCCTACATGAGAGACAATCATTCAGTCCCTCGTTGCATTGTTCTGGAATTCTGTGTGAGGGAAAAACTTTCAGACAATCATGGCAGTGTTCCAGAATCCTACGTGAGGGTCAAACTTTCAGAACACAGAAGTAGTGATCTGGAATCCCCTGTGAGGAATAAACATTCAGAACCCTGTAGCAGTAACCTGGAATCCGATGTGACGGACAAACCTTTAGACCCCAGCAGCATTGATCTGGAATCCTATTTGAGGGACAATCATTCAGACCCTCTCAGCAGTATTCTGTCATCCTATGTGCGGGAGAAACATTCAGACCAGAGTGGGGGTGTTCTGTAATAATATGTGACAAACATTTCGATCCTCACAGAAGTGTTCTGGAATATTATATGAGGGACAAAGGTTCAGACAATTGTAGCAGTGTTCTGGAATCCTACGTGAGGGACAAACATTCAGAACCTAGAAGCAGTGTTCTAGAATCCTATATGAGGGACAAACGTTCAAACAACAGCGGGAGTGTTCTGGAGTCCTATGTTATGGACAAACATTCAGACCCTAGCAGAAGTGTTCTGGAATCCCATGTGACAGACAAACACTCAAACAAGAGCGGGAGTGGTCTGGAATCCTAAGTTAGGATCATACATTCAGACCCCCGTTGCAGTGTTCTGGAATTCTATGTGTGGGAGAAACACTCAGAACCAGCAGCAGTGTTCTGGCATCCAATGTGAGGGACACACGAGTAGACTGCAGCAGCAGTGTTCTGGAATCCTATGTGAGGGACAAACATTCAGACCCCAGCAGCAGTGTTCTGGAATACTATATGAGGCACATTCATTCAGACCCTCGTTGCAGTGATCTGGAATCCTATGTGAGGGACAAACAGAACACAGCAGGAGTGTTTTGGAATCCCCTGTGAGGAACAAATATTCAGACCCTCGTCGCAGTGTTCTGGAATCCGATGTGAGGGACCAACAATCAGACAATCGTAGAAGTGTTCTGAAATCCTATCTGAGGGACAAACATTCAGACCCTTGTAGCAGTGTTCTGGAATCCTATGTGAGGGAGAAACATTCAGACAACCGTAGAACTGTTCTGGAATGTGAGTGACAAATATTCAGTCCCCAGCAGCAGTGTTCTGGAATCTTATGTGAGGGAAAAACATTCAAAAAACAGCGGAAGTGTTCTGGAATCCTACGTTAGAAACATAAATTCCAAGTATAATAATAATAAACGAAATAATATAACATAAAAAGAAACATACATTCAGACCCTCGATGCAGTGTTCTGGAATCTATGTGAGGGAGAAACACTCAGAACCCGGCCTCAGTGTTCTGGAATCCGATGTGAAAGACATACACATAGACTCCTGCAGCAGTGTTCTGGAGTCCTATGTGGGGGACAAACATTAAGACCCCAGAAGCAGTGTTCTGGAATCCTACGTGAGGGACAGTCAATCAGACCCTCGTAGTAGTGTTCTGGAATTCTGTGTGAGGGACAAACATTCAGACCCTCCTTGCAGTTTTCTGGAATTCAATGTGAGGGACAAACTTTCAGACCACAGCAGGGGTGTTGTGGAATCCCCGGTGAGGAACAAACATTGAGACACTCGTAGCAGTGTTCAGGAATCCTATGTGATGGACAATCATTTAAACCCCAGCAGCAGTGTTCTGGAATCCTATGTGAGAGAGAAACATTCAGACACTCGTAGCAGTGTTCTGGAATCCTATGTGAGGGACAAACACTCAGAACCCAGCTGCAGTGTTCTGGAACACTATGTTAGGGACAAACATTCAGACCACAGCAGGATTGTTCTGGAATTCTATGTGAGGGACACACATTCAGAAAACAGCAGGAGTGTTTTGGAATCCAACTTGGAGGACAAATATTCAGACCCTCGTAGCAGTGTTCTGGAATCCTATGTGAGGAGCAAACATTCACATAATCGTAGCAGTGTTCTGGAATCCTATGTGAGGGACAAACATTCAGAACTTCATAACAGTGTTCTTAAATCCAATGTGAGGGACAAACATTCAGACTGTCGTAGCGGTGTTCTGGAATCCTATGTGAGAGACAAACCCTCAGAACACAGCAAGAGTGTTTTGGAATCCTATGTGAGAGACAAATATTCAGATCCTCATAGCAGTGTTCTGGAATCCTATGTTAGGGACAAACATTCAGACTATCGTAGCAGTGTTCTGGAATCCTATGTGAGGGACAAATATTAAGACTATCATAGCAGTGTTCTGGAATCCTATGGGAAGGACAATCATTCAGACCCTCGTACCACTGTTCTGTAATTCCGTGTGAGGGACAAAGCTTTAAACCAAAGAAGGAGTGTTCTGGAATCCCCTGTGAGGAACAAACATTCAGACCCTCGTATCAGGGTTCTGGAATCCTATTTGACAGAGAAACATATAGACCCCAGCAACAGAGTTCTGGGGTCCAATGTGAGAAAAAAACAATCAGACCCTCGTAGCAGTGTTCTGGAATCCTATGTGGGAGACAAACATTCAGAGAATCGTAGCAGTTTTCTGGAATGCAATGTGAGGGAAAAACATTCAGACCCCTGTTGCAGTGTTCTGGAAACCTATGTGAGGGACACCCATTCAGACCACTGCATGATTGATCTGGAATCCTATGTGAAGGACAAACACTCAGAACACAGCAGGAGTGTTTTGGAATCCTATGTGAGGAACAAACATTCAGACCCTCTTAGCAGTGTTCTGGAATCCTATGCGAGGGACAAACATTGAAACAATAACTGGAGTGTTCTGAAATCCTATGTTATGGACAAACATTCAGATCCTCATTGCATTGTTATGGAATTCTATGTGACGGAGAAACACTCAGAAACTAACAGCAGTTTTCTGGCATCCTATGTGACAGACAAACTTTTAGACCCCAGCAGCAGTGTTCTGGAATCCTACCTGAGGGACAAACTTTGAGACCCCAGCAACAGTGTTGTTGAATCCTATGTGAGGGACAAAAATTAAGACCCCGGTAGGAGTGTTCTGGAATCTTTTGTGAAAGACAAACATTCAGACACAGCAGGAGTGTTCTGGAATTGTATGTTAGCAACAAACATTCGCATTCTAGCAGCAGAGTTCTTTGGTCCTATGTGAGGCACAAACTTCCAGACGCTCGTAGCAGTTTTCTGGAATATTATGTGATGGAAAAACATTCAGAATCTCATAGCAGTGCTTTGGAATCCTATGTGAGCACAAACATTCGGACCCCAGCAGCAGTGTTCTGGAATCCTATTTGAGGCACAAACATTCAGACCCTCGTAGCAGTGTTCTGGAATGCTATGTGATGGAGATCCATTCATACTACAGCAGCAGAGTTCTGGAATCTTGTGTGAGGGACAGACATTCAGACCACAGCCGGAGTGTTATGGAATCCTATATTAGGGACAAACATTCAGACACTTGTAGCAGTTTTCTGAAACCCTATGTCAGAGAGAAACATTCGGACCTCAGCAGCAGCGTTCTAGAATCCTATATGAGGCACATTCATTCAGACCCTCGTTGCAGTGATCTGGAATCCTATGTGAGGGACAAACACTCAGAACACAGCAGGAGTGTTTTGGAATCCCCTGTGAGGAACAAACATTCAGACCCTCATAACAATGTTCTGGAATCCTATGCGAGGGACCAACATTCAGACAATCGTAGAAGTGTTCTGGAATCCTATGTGAGGGACAAACATTCAGAAAACCGTAGCAGTGTTCTGGAATCCTATGTGAGGGACAAACATTCAAACAAGAGCGGGAGTGTTCTGGAATCCTATGTTAGGAACGTATATTCAAACCATCATTGCAGTGTTCTGGAATTCTAAGTGAGGGACAAACACTCAGAACCCAGCTGCAGTCTTCTGGAACCCTGTGTGAGAGACCAACATTCAGACAATCGTAGAAGTGTTCTGGAATCCTATGTGAGGGACAGTCATTCAAACACTCGTAGCAGTGTTCTGGAATCCTATGTGAAGTACAAATACTCAGAACCCAGCAACAGTGTTCTGGAACCCTATGTGAGATACAAACATTCCGACCACAGCTGTATTCTTCTGGAATCCTAAGTGAGGGACAAACCTTCAGACATTCGTAGCGGTGTTCTGGAATCCTATGTGAGGGACAAACATTCAGACAATCGTAGAAGGGTTCTGGAATTCTATGTGAGTGACAAATATTCAGAGCCCCGTAGCAGTGTTCTGGAATCCTATGTGAGGGACAAACATTCAGACCCCATCAGTAGTGTACTGGAATAACATGAGAGGGACAATCATTCAGACCCTCAGAGCAGTGTTCTGGAATTCTGTGTGATGGACATACATTAGGAACCTCGTAGTAGTGTTCTGGAATCCTGTCTGAGGGACAAACATTCAGACCACAGCAGGAGTGTTACGGAATGCCCTGTGAGGAAGAAACATTCAGACCCTTGTAGCAATGTTCTGGAATCCTACGTGATGGACAAACATTTAGACCATAGCAGCAGTGTTCTGGAATCCTATGTGAGGTACAAACACTCAGAACCCAGCAGCAGTGTTCTGGAACCCTATGTGAGGGACAAACATTGAGACCACTGCAGGATTCTTCTGGAATCCTATGTTAGGGACAAACACTCAGAACACAGCAGGAGTGTTTTGGAATCCTATGTGAGGGACAAATTTTGAGACCCTCGTAGCAGTGTTCCAGAATCATATGTGAGGGAGAAACATTCAGACAATCGTATCAGTGTTCCAGAATCGTATGTGAGGGACAAACATTCAGACCCTCGGAGCATTGTTCTGGAATGCTATGTTAGGGACAAACATTTAGACAATCGTAGCAATGTTCTGGAATAATATGTGAGGGACAAACATTCAGACAGTCTCAGCAGTGTTCTGGAATCCTATGCGAGGGACAAACATTCAGACCTCAGCAGCAGTGTTCTGGAATCCTATGTGAGGGACAAACTTTAAAACAACAGCGAAAGTGTTCTGGAATCCTATGTTATGAACAAACATTCAGACCCTCGTCGCAGTGTTCTGGAATTCTATGTGAGGGAGAAATACTCAGAACCCAGCAGCAAGGTTCTGGAATCATGTGAAGGACATACATATAGACTCCAGCAGCATTGTTCTGGAATCCTATGTGAGGGACAAACATTCACACCCCAGCAGCAGCGTTCTGGAATCCTATATGAGGGACAATCATTCAGATGCTTGTAGCAGTGTTCTGGAATTCTGTGTGAGGGACAAACTTTCAGATGCTCGTAGCAGTGTTCTGGAATTCTGTGTGAGGGACAAACTTTCAGACCCTCGTAGCAGTGTTCTGGAATCCTGTGTGAGGGACAAACTTTCAGATGCTCGTAGCAGTGTTCTGGAATTCTGTGTGAGGAACAAACCTTCAGACCCTCTTAGCAGTGTTCTGGAATCATATGTGTCGGACAAACATTTAGACCTCAGCAGCACTGTTCTAGAATCCTATGTGAGGAGCAATCATTCAGACACTCGCAGCGGTGTTCAGGAATCCGATGTGAGGGACAAACACTCAGAACCCAGCAGCAGTGTTCTGGAACCCTATTTGAGGGACAAACAGTCAGATCACAGCTGTATTGTTCTGAAATCCTATGTGAGGAACAAACATTCAGACATTCGTAACGGTGTTCTTGAATCCTACGTGAGGGACAAACATTCAGACGCCAGCAGCATTGTTTTGGAATCCTATGTAAGGGACAAACATTCAAACAACAGCGGGACTGTTTTGGAATCCTATGTGTGGGACAAACTTTAAGACAACAGCAGGAGTCTTCTGAAATCCTATGTGAGAAACAAACATTTACAACACAGCAGCAGTGTCCTGGAGTCCTATGTGAGGGGCAAATATTCAGAACCTCGTAGCAGTTTTCTGGAATCTTAGGAGAGGGACAAACACTCACAACCCAACAGGAGTGTTCTGGGAACCTGTGTGAGGGAAAAGCATTCAGACAACAGCAGGAGTGTTCTGGAATCATATGTGAGGGAGAAACACTCATATCACAACAGGAGTGTTCTGGAATCCCCTGTGAGGGACAAACATTCAGACCCTGGTAAGAGTGTTCCGGAAACCTATGTGAGGGGTAAGCATTTAGTTCCTCCTAGCAGTGTTCTGGAATCCTATGTGGGGGACAAACAGTCAGACCACAACAGGAGTGTACTAGAATCCCCTGTGAGGGACAAACATTCAGACCCTTGAAGCAGTGTTCTGGAATACTAGTGAGGGACAAAGATTCAGACTAGAGCAGAATTCTTCTGGAATCCTATGTGAGGAACGCATATTTAGACCACATCAGGAGTGTTCTGGAATGCTATTTGAGGGACAAACATTCAGTCCCTCTTAGCAGTGTTCTGGAATCCTTTGTGAGGGCTAACCACTCAGAACCCAGCAGCAGTGTTCTGGAATCCTATGAGAGGGACAAACATTCATACCACAGGAGGAATGTTCTGGAATCCTATGTGAGAGACAGACATTCAGACCCTGGTAGCAGTGTTCTGGAATCCTATGTGAAGGCCAAACACTCAGAAACCAGCAGCAGTGTTGTGGAATCCTATGCGAGCGACAAACATTCAGATGCCAGAAGCATTGTTCTGGAATCCTATATGAGGGGCAAACATTCAGACCTAAGCAGGAGTGTTCTTTAATCCTATATGATGGATAAACATTCAGACCCCTGCAGCAGTGTTCTGGATACCTATATGTGGGAGAAACAGTCAGAAACCAGCAGAACGGTTCTGGAATCCTCTGTGATGGACAAACATTTAGAGCCTAGAAGCATTTTTAAGCAATCCTATGTGAGGGAGAAAACATCCAGACCCCAGCAGAAGTGTTCTGGAATCCTTTTTGAAGGAATAACATTTAGTCCCCAGCAGCAGTGTTCTGGAATCCTATGTGAAGGACAAACATTCAGACCCTCCTAGCAGTGTTGTGGAATCCTATGTGAGGGACAAACATACAGATCACAGCAGAAGGGTTATTGCGTCTTATGTGAGGGACAGCCAGAACCCAGCAGGGGTGTTCTGGAATCCTATGTGAGGGACAAATATACAGACCACAGCAGAAGTTTTCTGGAATCCTTTGTGCAGAACAAACATTCAGACCACAGCAAAATTTTTCCAGAATCCTATGTGAGGGACAAAGCTTCAGAACCTCTTAGCAGTGTTCTTGAATCCTATGTGAGGGACAAACTTTCAGACTCCTGTGGCAGTGTTTTAGAATTCGATGTGAAGGACAAACGATCAAAACCCAGAGGCAGTGTTCTTGGATCTTATGTGAAGGACAAACATTCAGACCCTCTTAGCAGTGTTCTGAAATCCTATGTGAGGGAAAAGTATTCAGACTCTCGTAGCAGTGTTCTGGAATCCGACGTGAGGGAGAAACATTCAGACCACAGAAGGAATGTTCTGGAATCCTATGTGAGTAACGTTCAGACCACAGCACGATTGTTCTGGAATCCCATGTGAGGTACAAACATTCAGACGCCAGCAGCAGTGTTCCGAAATCCTATTGAGGGAAAAACTTTTAGACTCATGTAGCAGTGTTCTGTAATCGTACGTGAGGGACAAACACTGAGAACCCAACAGCAGTGTTCTGGAATTCTTAGTGAGGAACAAACATTCAGACCACAGCAGGAGTCTCCTGGAATCCTTTGTGAGGGAGAATAATGCAGACCCTCGTAGCAGTGATCTGGAATCCTATGTGAGGGAGAAACATTCAGACTCAAGTTACAGTTTTCTGGAATCCTATTTGAGGGACAAACCCTCAGACCACAGCAGGAATATTTTAGAATCCCATGTTAGGGAGAAACATTCAGACCACAGCAGGATTGTTCCAGAAACCAATGTAAGGCACAAACACGGAGAACACAAGAGTGTTCTGGAACCCTATATGAGGGTCAAACATTCAGACCACAGCAGTAGTGTTCTGGAATCCTATGTGAGGGAGAATAATTCAGATGGTCATAGCATTGCTCTGGAATCCTATGTGAGGGACAAACATTTAGAACCCAGTAGCAGCATTCTGGAATCCTATTTGAGGGACAAACACTCAGAACACTACAGGGATGTTTTGGAATCCTATGTTAGGGAGAAACATTCAGATGACCACAGGATTTTTCTGGAATCCCATGTGAGGCACAAACGCTCAGACAACAGCAGGAGTGTTCTAGAATGCTATGTGAAGGTCAACCATTCAGACCACAGCAGTAGTGTTCTAGAATTCTATGTGAGGGACAAACATTCATACCCTCGTAGCAGTGTTCTGGAATCCTATGTAAGGGACAAACACTAAGAACCCAGCAGCAGTGTTCTGGCATTCTATCTGAGGGACGGAAATTCAGACCAAAGCAGGAGTATTCTGGAATCCTATGAGAGGTACAATCATTCAGAACCTCGTAGTAATGTTCTGGAATCCTATGTGAGAGAGAAACACTCAGAACCCAGCAGTAGTGATATGGAATCCTATGTGAGGGACAATCATTCAGACCATAGATTGGGTGTTCTTGAATCCTATGTGAGGGACAAACATTCAGACCCTCATAGAAGTGTTCTGGAATCCTATGTGAGGGACAAACACTCAGAACCCAGCAGCAGTGTTCTGGAATCGGATGTAAGGTATAACCATTCAGACCACAGCAGGAGGGTTCTGGAATCTTATGTGAGGGACAATCATTCAGACCCTCGTAGCGGTATTCTGGAATCCTGTGTGAGGGAGAAACCCTCAGAACCCAGCGGCAGTCTTCTGTAATCCTATTTGAGGGACAATCATTCAGACCACACCTGTGGTGTTCTGGAATCCTGCATGTGGGACAAACTTTCAGACCCTTGTAGCATTGTTCTGGAATGCTATGTGAGGCAAACATTCACACCCTCGTAACAGTGTTCTGGAATTCTATGTGAGGGACAAACATTTAGACCCACTTAGTAGTGTTCTGGAATCGTACGTGAGGGACAAACACTCAGAACCCAACATCAGTGTTCTGGAATAATAAGATAGGGACAAACATTCAGACCACAGCAGGAGTGTTCTGCAACCTTATGTGTGGGAGAATAATTCAGAACCTCATAGCAGTGTTATGGAATCCTATGTGAGGGACAAACATTCAGACCCCAGTACCAGGTCTCTGGAATCTTATTTGAGGGACAAAGACTCAGTCCACAGCAGGAATGTTTTGGAATCCTATGTGAGAGAGAAACATTCAGACAACAGCAGAATTGTTCTGGAATCCCATGTAAGGCACAAACACCCAGACCACAGAAGGAGTGTTCTGGAATCCTATATGAGGTTCAACCATTCAGACCACAGCAGGAGTGTTCTGAAATCCTATGTGAGGAACAAACATTCAGAACACAAGAGCAGTGTTCTGGAATCTTATGTGAGTGACAAACATTCAGAACCCAGCAACAGTGTTCTGTAATCCTGTCTGAGAGACAAACATTCATACCACAGTAGGAGTGTTCTGGAGTCCAATGTGAGGTACAATCATTCAGAACCCAGTAGCAGTGTCCTGGTTTCCTATGTGAGGGAGAAACACTCAGAACCCAGCAGCAGTGTTATGGAATCCTATGTGAGGGACAATCATTCAGACCACAGCTGGGGTGTTCTGGAATCCTACCTGTGAGACAAACATTTAGACCCTCGCAGCATTGTTCTGCAATCCTATTTGAGGAAAATTCATTCACAATACAGCAGGAGTGTTCTGGAGTCCTATGTGCGGAAGAAACATACAGACCCTCGTAGGAGTGTTCCAGAATCCTATGTTAGGGACAATCCTTTAGACCCAAGTAGCAGTGTTTTGGAATCCTATTTGAGGGACAAACACTCAGACCACAGCAGGAATATTTTGGAAGCCTATGTGAGGAAGAAACATTCAGAACACAGAAGGATTGTTCTAGAATCCAACGTGAGGCACAAACAGCCAGACCACAGCACTAGTGTTCTGGAATCCTATATGACGGTCAACTTTTCAGACCACAGCAGTAGTGTTCTGTAATCCTATTTGAGGAACAAACATTAAGACAACAGCAGGCTTATTCTGGAAACTTCGGTGAGGAGCAAACATTGAGACCACAGCATCAGTGTTCTGGAATCTCATGTGAGGGACAAACACTCAGAACCTTGCAGCAGTGTTCTGGAATCCTATCTGAGGGACAAACATTCAGACCAGAGCAGGAGTGTTCTTTAATCCTCTGTGAAGTACAATCATTGAGACACTCGTAGCAGTGTACTGGAATCCTACGTGAGGGAGAAACACTCAAAAACCAGCAGCAGTGTTCTGGAATCCTATGTGAGGGACAATCATTCAGACCACAGCTGGGGTGTTCTGTAATCCTACGTGTGGAACAAACATTCAGACACAATTAGAATTGATCTGGAATCGCATGTGAGGAAAACACATTCAGAACACATCAGGAATCTTCTGGAGTCCTATGTGCGGGACAACCATTCAGAGGCTTGTAGCAGTGTTCTGGAATCCTATGTGAGGGAGAAACCTTTAGACCCACGTAGCAGTGTTCTGGAGTCGTACGTGAGGGACAAACCCTCAGAACCCAACATCAGCGTTGCGGAATTCTAAGTGAGGGACAAACATTCAGACCACAGCAGGAGTGTTCTGGAATCCTATGTAAGGGAGAATAATTCAGAGCCTCGTAGCAGTGTTCTGCAATCCTATGTGAGGAACAAACATTCAGACCACAGTAGCAGTGTTCTGGAATCCTATTTGAGGGACAAACACTCAGAGCACAGCAGGGATGCTTTGGAACCCTATGTGAGGGAGAAACATTCAGACCACAGCAGGATTGTTCTGGAATCCCATTGGAGGCACAAACACCCAGACCACAGCAGGAGTGTTCTGCCATCCTATGTGATGGTCAACCATTCAGACCACAGCAGCAGTGCTCGGGAATCCTAGATGAGGTACAAACATTCAGACCACAGCAGGAGTGTTCTGGAATCCTATGTGAGATACAATGGTTCAGACCCTTGTAGCAGTGTTCTGGAATCCTATGTGATGGAGAACCACTCAGAATCCAGCAGCAGTGTTCTGGAATCCTATGTGATGGAGAAACACTCAGAACCCAGCAGCAGTGTTCGGGAGTCCTATGTAAGGTACAATCATTCAGACCACAGCTGGGGTGTTCTGGAATCCTATATGTGGGAAAAACATTCAGACCCCGGTAGCATTGTTCTGGAATCCTATGTGAGGAAAATACATTGAGAACACATCAGGAGTGTTCTGGAGTCCTATGTGCGGGACAAACATTCAGACCCTCTTAGCGGTATTCTGGAATCCTATGTGAGGGAAAAACATTTAGACCCACATGGGAGTGTTCTGGAATCTTTCGTGAGGGACAAACACTCAGAACCCAACAGCAGTGTTCTGGAATCCTAATGAGGGACAAACATTCAGACCACAGCAGGAGTGCGCTGGTATCCTATGTGAGGGAGAATAATTCAAACCCTCGTGATAGTGTTCTGGATTCCTATGTGATGGACAAATATTCAGACCTCAATACCAGTGTTCTGGAATCGTATTTGAGGGACAAACACTCAGACCATAGCAGGAATGTTTTGGAATCCAATGTGAGGGAGAAACATTCAGACTACTGCAGGATTGTTCTGCAATCCCATGTGAGGCACAAACACCCAGACCACAGCAGGATTGTTCTGGAATCCTATGTGATGGTCAGACATTCAGACCACAGCAGTAGTAGTCTGGAATCCTGTATGAGAGACAAACATTCAGATTACAGCAGGATTGTTCTAGAATTCTATGGAGGAACAAATATTCAAACCATATCAGCACTGTTCTGGAATCCTATGTGAAGGGACAGACACTCAGAACGCAGCAGCAGTGTTCTGGAATCCTATTTTAGGGACAAACACCCAGACAAGAGCAGGGGTGTTCTGGAATCCTATGTGACGGTCAACCATTCAGACAACAGCAGTAGTGTTCTGCAAGCCTATAAGAGGGAAAAACATTCAGACAACAGCAGGAGTGATCTGGAATCCCATCTGAGGAACAAACATTCAGACCACAGCTGTGGTGTTCTGGAATAGTATGTGAGGGCCAAACACTGAGAACCCAACAGCAGTGTTCAGGAATACTAAGTGAGGGACAAACATTCTGACCACAGCAGGAGTGTCCTGGAATCCTATGTGGGGTAGAATAATTCAGACCCTCGTAGCAGTGTTCTGGAATCCTATGAGAGGAACAAACATTCATACCCCAGTAGCAGTGTTCTAGAATCCTATTTGAGGGACAAACACTCAGACAACAGCAGAAATGTTTTGGAATCATATGTGAGGGAGAAACATTCAGACCACAGCAGGACTGTTCTGGAATCCCATGTGAGGCACAAACACCCAGACCACAGCAGGCGTGTTCTGGAATCCTATGTGAGGGTCAAACATTCAGACCACAGCAGTAGTCTTCTGGAATCCTAGATGAGGGACAAATATTCAGACCCCAGCAGTAGTGTTCAGGAATCCTACATGAGGGACAAACATTTAGAACCCAGTAGCATTGTTCTGGAATCCCATGTGAGGGACAATCATTCAGCCCACAGCTGGTGTGTTCTGGAATCCTATTTGTGGGACAAACATTCAGACCCTCGTAGCATTGTTCTGGAATCCTATGTGAGGAAAATACATTCAGAACACAGCAGGATTGTTCTTCAGTCCTATGTGTGAGGCAAACATTCATACCCTTGTAGCCGTGTTCTGGAGTCCTCTGTGGAGGGCTAACATTAAGACCCACGTAACAGTGTTCCGGCATCGTACGTGAGGATAAACACTCAGAACCCAACAGCAGTGTTCTGGAATCCTAAGTGAGGGACAAACATTAAGATGTCAATACCAGTGTTCTGGAATCCTATTTGAGGGACAAACACTCAGACACAGGAGGAATGTTTTGGAAGCCTATGCGAGGGAGAAACATTCAGACTACAGCAGGATTGTTCTGGAATACCATGTGCGGTAAAAACACACAGACCACAGCAGGATTGTTCTGGAATCCTATGTGAGGGTCAACCATTCAGACCACAGCATCAGGGTTCTGGAATCCTATATGAGTGACAAATATTCAGAACACAGCAAGAGAGTTCTGGGATCCTGTGTGTTGGACAAACTCTCAGAACCCAGCAGCAGTGTTCTGGAATCCTATTTAAGGGGGAAACACCCAGACCAGAGCAGGGATGTTCTGGAATCCTATGTGAGGGTCAACCATTCAGACCACAGCAGTAGTGTTCTGCAATCCTATGTGAGGGACAAACATTCAGACCACAGCAAGAGTGTTCTGAAATCCTATGTGAGGGACAAACATTCAGAACCCAGCACCTTTTTTCTGGAATCCTATCTGAGTGACAAACATTCAGAACAGAGCAGGAGTGTTCTGGAATCCTATGTGAACTACAATCATTCAGACCCTCGTAGCAGTGTTCTGGAATCGTATGTGAGGGAGAAACACTCAGAACCCAGCAGCAGTGTTCTGGAATCCTATGGGAGGGACAATCATTCAGAACACAGCTGAGGTGTTCTGGAATCCTAAGTGTGGGAAAAACATTCAGACCCTGGTAGCATTGTTCTGGAATCCCATGTGAGGAAAATACATTCAGGAAACAGGAGGAGTGTTCTGGAGTCCTACGTGCGAGAGAAACATTCAGACCCTCCTAGCAGTGTTCTGGAATCCTATGTGAGGGACAAATATTTAGACCCACGTAACATTGTTCTGGAATCGCACATGAGGGACAAACACTCAGAACCTAACAGCAGTGTTCTGGAATCCTAAGTGAGGGACAAACATTCAGACCACAACAGGAGTGCCCTGGAATCCTATCAGAGGGAGAATAATTCAGACCCTCCTGTCAGGGTTTTGGAATCCTATGTGAGGGACAAACATTCAGACCCCAGTAGCAGTGTTCTACAATCCTGTTTGAGGGACAAACACTCAGACTGCAGCAGGAATGTTTTGGAATCCTATGTGAGGGAGAAACATTCAGACCACAGAAGGATTGTTCTGGAATCCCATGTGAGACACAAACACCCTGATCACAGCAGGAGTATTCTGGAATCATATCTGAGGGTCAAACGTTGAGACCACAGCAGTAGTGTTCTGGAATCCTATATGAGAGACAAACATTCAGACCACAGCAGCATTGTTCAGGAATCCTTTGTGAGGGACAAACACTCAGAACCCAGTAGCAGTGTTCTGGAATTCTATGTGAATGACAAATATTTAGACCCTCGTCGCAGTGTTCTGGAATGCTATGGTAGGGACAAACTCTGAAAACCCAGCAGCAGTGTTCTGGAATCCTATGTGAGGGACAATCATTCAGACCACAGCTGGGGTTTTCTGGAATCCTACATGTGCGACAAGCATTCAGACACTCATAACATTCTTCTGGAATCCTATCATAGGAAAATACATTCAGAACACAGCAAGAGTGTTCTGGAGTCCTATGTGCGAGAAAAACATTCAGACCCTCGTAGCACTGTTCTGGAATCCTACGTAACAGACAAACATATAGACCCACGTGGCAGTGTTGTGGAATTGTACCTGAGGGACAAACACTCAGAACCCAACAGTAGTGTTCTGGAATCCTAAGTGAGGGACAAACACTCAGACTGCAGCAGGAGTGCTCTTGAATACTTAGTGGGGAACAAATATTCAGACAACAGCAGGAGTGTTCTGGAATCCTATGTGAGGGAGAATAATTTATACCCTCATAGCAGTGTTCTGGAATCCTATTTGAGGGACAAACATTCAGACCATCGTAACAGTGTTCTGGAATCCTATGTGAGGGACAAACACTCAGAACCCAGCAGCAGTGTTCTGGAATCCTATGTGAGGGACAATTATTCAGACCACAGCTGGGGTGTTCTGGAATCCTAAGTGTGGGACAACCATTCAGACCCTCGTAGCATTGTTCTGGAATCCTAAGTGAGGAAAATACATTCAGAACACAGCAGGAGTGTTCTGGAATTCTACATGCGGGACAAACATTCAGACTCTCTTAGCAGTGTTATGGAGTCTTAGGTGAGGGACAAATATTCAGACCCTCATAGTAGTTTTCTGGAGCCCTATGTGAGGGACGAGCATTTAGACCAATGTAGAAGTGTTCTAGAATCGTATGTGAGGCACAAAACACTCAGAACCCAACAGCAGTGTTCTGGAATCCTAAGTGAGGGATAAACATTCAGACCACAGCAGGAGTGTTCTGGAAACATAAGTGAGGGAGAAACATTCCCACGACAGCAGGAATGTTCTGGAGCCCTATGTGAGGGACAAACACTCAGACCACAGCAAGAATGCTTTGTAATCCTATGTGACAGAGAAGCATTCACACCACAGCAGGATTGTTATGGAATCCCATGTGAGGCACAAACACCCAGACCACAGCAGGAGTGTTCTGGAATCCTATGTGAGCATCAACCATTCAGACCACTGCAGTAGTGTTCTGGAATCCGATGTGAAGAGCAAACATTCTGAGCCTCGTAGCATTGTTCTGTAATCTTATCTGAGGGATAAACATTCAGACTCTCTTGGCAGTGTTCTGGAATATTATGTGAGGAACAAATATTCAGACCCTCGTAGCAGTGTTCTGGAATCCTATGTGAGTGAGAAATACACAGAACCCAGCAGCAGTGTTCTGTAATCCTATGTGAGGAACAAACATTAGGACACTCGTAGCAGTGTTCTGGAATCATATGTGAGGCAAAAACACTCAGAACCCAGCAGCACTGTTCTGGAATCCTATTTGAGGGAAACTTTCAGACCACAGCAGGAGTATTCAGGAATCATATGTGAGGGACAAACATTCAGACCCTCATAGCCGTGTTCTGGAATCCTATGTGAGGGAGAATAATTCAGACCCTCATAGCAGTGTTCTCGAACCCCATTTGAGGGACAAACACTCAGAAGACAGCAGGACTGTTTTGGAATCCTACATGAGGGAGAAACATTCAGACCCCAGCAGAAGTGTTCTGGAATCTTATTGCAGGTACAAACACTCAGAACCCAGCAGCAGTGTTCTGGAATCCTATGTTAGGAACTCACATTCAGAACCTCGTACCAGAGTTTTGGAATCCTCTGTGAGGGACAACCTTTCAGACCAAAGCAGCAGTGTTCTGGAATCCTATGTGAGGAATAAACATTCACAGCACAGCAGGAGTTTTCTGGTATCCTATTTAAGGGACAAACATTCAGACCCTCGTAGCAGTGTTGTGAAATCCTATGTAAAGGACAAACATTCAGACCACAGCAGTAGTGATCTGGAATCCTATGTGAAGGACAAATATTCAGAACCCTGCTGCAGTGTTCTAAAATCCTATGTGAAAGACAAACATTCAAATCTTCGTAGCAGTGTTCTGGAATCCTATGCGAGGGACAAACATTCAGACCACAGCAGCACTGTTCTGGAATCCTATGTGAGAGATAAACACCCAGACCACAGCAGGAGTGTTCTGGAAGTCTATGTGATGAACAAACATTCAGAACACAGCAGGGGTGTTCTGGAATCCTGTGTGAGTGACAAACATTCACACCCAGCAGCATTGTTCTGGAGTTCTGTGTGTGGGACAAACATTCAGACCACAGCAGGAGTGTCCAGGAATCCTATGTGAGGGACAAACATTCAGACCCTCATAGCAGTGTTCTGGAATCCTATGTGAGAGAAAAACACTCAGAAGCCAGAAGCAGATTTCTGGAATCCTATGTGAGGGACAAAGATTGAGAAACCCGTAGAAGTGTTCTGAAATCATATGTGAGGGACAAACTTCCAGACCCCAGCAGCAGTGTTCTTGAATCTTATGTGAGGGACAAACATTCAGATCAAATCAGGAGTGTTTTGGAATCCTATGTGAGGGACAAACATTCAGATTAAAGCAGGAGTGTTCTGGAATCCTAATTCAGGGACACACAGTTCAGACCACAGCAAGAGTGCCCTGGAATCCCATGTGTGGGAGAATAATTCAGACGGTTGCTGCAGTGTTCTTGAATCCTATGAGAGGGAAAAACATTCAGACCCTCGTAGCACTGTTCTCGAATCCTATGTGAGAGACAAACACTGCGAACCCAGCAGTGTTCTGGAATCCAATGTGAGGGACAATCATTCAGACCAAAGCTGGGGTGTTCTGGAATCCTACGTGTAGAACAAGCATTCAGAACCTCGTACCATTGTTCTGGAATCCTCTGTTAGGAAAATACATTCAGAACACAGAAGGAGTGTTCTGGAGTCCTATGTGCAGGACAAATATTCAGACCCTCGTAGCTGTGTTCTGGAATCCTATATGAAGGAAAAACACTAAGAACCCAGCAGCAGTGTTCCGGAATCCTATGTGAGGAACAAACATTCAGACCACAATAGCAGTGTTCTGGAGTCTTATGTGAGGGACAAACATTCAGATCCTCTTAGAAGTGTTCTGGAATCCTATGTGAGGGGCAAAGTTTTAGAACAAAGCAGCAGTGTTCTAGAATCTTATGTGAGGGGCAAAGTTTTAGAACAAAGCAGCAGTGTTCTAGAATCTTATGTGAGGGACAAACATTCAGACCACAGCAGGAGTGTTCTAGAAACCTATGTGAGGGAGAAACATTCAGTCCCAAGGAGCAGTGTTCTGGAATCCTATGTGAGGGACAGACATTTAGACCGACGTAGCAGTGTTCTGGAATCGTACGTCAGGAACAAACACTCACAACCCAGCGGCAGTGTTCTGGAATCCTACGTGAGGGACAAACATTCAGACCACAACAGGAGTGTTCTGGAATCCTATGTGATGGACAAACATTCAGTACCCAGGAGCAGTGCTCTGGAATCCTATGTGAGAGACAAACATTTAGACCCACACAGCAGCGTTCTGGAATCATAAGTGTGAGACAAACACTGAGAACCTCAGAGCTTTGTTCTGGAATCCTAAGGGAGGAACAGATATTGAGACCACAGCAGGAATGTTTTGGAATTGTATCTGAGGGACAAACATTCAGACGACGGCAGCAGTGTTATGGAATGCTTTGTGAGGGACAAACAGTCACAACCCAGCAGCAGTGTCCTGGAATTCTATTTTGGGACAAACACTCAGACAACAGAAGCAATGTTTTGGAATCCTATGTGATGGAGAAACGTTCAGACTGCAGCAGGATTGTTCTGGAATACCAAGTGAGGCACAGACAACAGCAGGAGTGTTCTGGAATCCTATGTGAGGGTCAAATTTTCAGTTGATAGCAGTAGTGCTCTGGAATCCTATGTGAGGGACAAACTTTCAGACCCTCGTAGGAGTGTTCTAGAATCCTTTCTGAGGGACAAACACTCAGAACCCAGCTGCTGTGTTCTGGAATCCAATCTGAGGTACCAATATTCAGAAGAGAGCATTAGTGTTACGGAATCCTTTGTGATTTACAATCATTCAGACATTCGCAGCAGTTTTCTGGAATCCTATGTGAGGGAGAAGCCATCAGAACCCAGCAGCAGGGTTCTGGAATCCTATGTGAGAGAAAATCATTCAGAGCACAGCTAGGGTGCTCTGGAATTCTACGTGTGGGACTAGCATTCAGAACTTCGTAGCATTGTTCCGGAATCCTAGGTTAGGGAAACACATTCAGAACACAGCAGGTGTGTTCTGGAGTCCTATGTACGGGACAAACATTCAGACCCTTGTAGCAGTGTTCTGGAATCCTATGTGAGGGACAAGCACTTAAACCCAAGTAGCAGTGCTCTGCAATTGTACTTGAGGGACAAGCACTCTGAATCCAACAGCAGTGTTCTGTAATCCTGAGTGAGGGACAAACATTCAGACCACAGCAGGAGTGTTCCGGAATCGTAAGTGAGGAACAAACATTCAGATTCCAGCATGTGTGTTCTGGTATCCTATGTGAGGGAGAATAATTTAGACGCTTGTAGCAGTGTTCTGGAATCCTATGTGAGGGACCAACATTCAGACCCTCGTAGCAGTGTTCTGGAGTCCTATGTGAGGGACAAGCACTTAAACCCAAGTAGCAGTGCTCTGCAATTGTACTTGAGGGACAAGCACTCTGAATCCAACAGCAGTGTTCTGTAATCCTGAGTGAGGGACAAACATTCAGACCACAGCAGGAGTGTTCCGGAATCGTAAGTGAGGAACAAACATTCAGATTCCAGCATGTGTGTTCTGGTATCCTATGTGAGGGAGAATAATTTAGACGCTTGTAGCAGTGTTCTGGAATCCTATGTGAGGGACCAACATTCAGACCCTCGTAGCAGTGTTCTGGAGTCCTATGTGAGGGACAAGCACTTAAACCCAAGTAGCAGTGCTCTGCAATTGTACTTGAGGGACAAGCACTCTGAATCCAACAGCAGTGTTCTGTAATCCTGAGTGAGGGACAAACATTCAGACCACAGCAGGAGTGTTCCGGAATCGTAAGTGAGGAACAAACATTCAGACTCCAGCATGTGAGTTCTGGTATCCTATGTGAGGGAGAATAATTTAGACGCTTGTAGCAGTGTTCTGGAATCCTATGTGAGGGACCAACATTCAGACCCTCGTAGCAGTGTTCTGGAGTCCTATGTGAGGGACAAACATTTAGACCCATGTAACACTGTTCTGGAATCAAACATGAGGGAAAAACACTCAGAACCCAAAAGCAGTGTTATGGAATCCTACATAAGGGACAATAATTCAGATCCTCGTAGCAGTGTTCTGGAATCCTATTAGAGGGGCAAACATTCAGACCCTCGTAGCAGTGTTCTGAATTCTATTTGAGGGACAACACTCAGAACCCAGTGACACTGTTGTAGAATGCTTTGTGTGGGGCAATCATTCAGACCACAGCTAGGGTGTTCTGGAATCCTACGTGTGAGACAAACATTCAGATCCTCGTAGCAGTGTTCTGGAATCTTACGTGAGGGACAAACATTGAGACTCTCGTAGCAGTGTTCTGGAATCCTATGTGAAGGACAAACACTCAGAACCCAGAAGCAGTGATCTGGATTCCTATGTAAGGGACAAACATTCAGACCACAGCAGGAGAGTTCTCGAAACCTAAGTGAGGAACAAACACTCAGACCACAGCAGGAATGTTTTGGAATCCTATGTGAGGGAGAAATATTCAGACCACAGCAGGATTATTCTGGAATCCCATGTGAGGCACAAACACCCAGACCACAGCAGGAGTGTTCTGGAATCCTATGTGAGGGTCAACCATTCAGACCACAGCAGTAGTGTCCTGGAATCCTATGTGAGGGACAAACATTCAGAACCTCGCAACAGTGTTCTGGAATCGTATGATAGGGACAAACACTCAGAACCCAGCAGCAGAGTTCTGGAATGTTATGTGAGAGACAAAATCTCAGACCCCAGCAGCAGTGTTCTGGCATCCTATGTGAGGGATAAACACTCAGAAAGTAGCAGCAGTGTTCTGGAATCCTATTAGAAGGACAAACATTCAGACGAGAGCAGGAGTGTTCTGGTATCCTATGTGAGGTACAATCATTCAGTCCCTCGTAGCAGTGTTCTGGAATCCTATGTGAGGGACAAACATTTAAACTCTCGTAGCAGTGTTCTGGAATCCCATATCTGGGAGAAACACTTAGACCCATGTAGCACTGTTCTGGATCCCTACGTGAGGGACAAATACTCAGAACCCAACAGCAGTGTTCTGGAATCCTCAGTGAGGGACAAACATTCAGACCACAGCAAGAGTGTTCTGGAATCCTAAGTGAGGGACAAACATTGAGACCACAGCAGGAGTGTTCTGGAATCCTATGTGAGGAACAAACATTCAGACACTCGTAGTAGTGTTCTGGAATCCTATGAGAGGGACAAACATTTAGACCCACGTACCAGTGTTCTGGAATAGTATGTGAGGGACAAACACTCAGAACCCAACAGCAGTGTTCTGGAATCCTAAGTGAGGGACAAACATTTAGACCCACTTACCAGTGTTCTGGAATAGTACGTGAGGGACAAACACTCAGAACCCAACAGCACTGTTCTGGAATCCTAAGTAAGGGACAAACATTCAGACCACAGGAGGAGTGTTCTGGAATCCTATGTGAGGGAGAATAATTCAGAACCTCGTAGCAGTTTTCTGGAATCCTATGTGAGGGACAAACATTCAGACCCCAGCAGCAGTGACCTGAAATCCTATGTGAGAGAGAATCTCTCAGAACCCAGAAGCAGTGTACCAGAATCCTATGTGAGGGCCAATCATTCAGACCATAGCTGGGGTGTTCTGGAAACCTAAGTGTGGGACAAATATTCAGACCCTCATAGCAGTGTTCTGGAACCCTATGTGAGGGACAAACATTTAGGCCCACGTAGCAGTGTTCTGGAATCGTACGTGAGGGACAAACACTCAGAACCCAACAGCAGTATTCTGGAAACCTAAGTGAGGGACACACATTCAGACAACAGCAGGATGGTTCTGGATTCCTATGTGAGGGAGAAACACTCAGAACCCAGCATCAGTGTTCTGGAATCCTATGTGAGACCATCAGAAAGACCACAGCTGGTGGGTTCTGGAATCCAAGTTTGGGACAAAGATTCAGACACTCGTAGCATTGTTCTGGAATCCTATGTGAGGAAAACACAATCAGAACACAGCAGGAGTGTTCTGGAATCCTATGTGCAGGACAAACATTAGGACCCTCGTAGCAGTGTTCTGGAATCCTATGTGAGGGACAAACATTTAGACCCACGTAGCAGGGTTCTGGAATCATACTTGAGGGACAAACACTCAAATCCCAACAGCAGTGTTCTGGAATCCTAAGTGAGGGACAAACATTCAGACAACAGCAGGAGTGTTCTGGAATCCTATGTGAAGAGAATAATTCAGACCCCTGTAGCAGTGCTCTGGAATCCTATGTGAGGGACAAACATTCAGACCTTCGTAGCAGTGCTCTGGAATCCTCTGTGAGGGATAAACATATAGACCCATATAACTGTTTTCTGGAATCTTATGTAAGGGAAAAACTCTCAGAATCCAACAGCAGTGTTCTGGAATCCTATGTGAGGGAGAAACACTCAGAATCCAGCAGCAGTGTTCTGGAATCCTATGTGAGGGACAGTCATCCAGACCACAGCTGGGATTTTTCTGGATCCCTACGTGTGGGACAAACATTCAGACCCTCATAGCATTGTTCTGAAATCCTATTTGAGGAAGAACATTCAGAATACAGCAGTAGTGTCCTGGAGACCTACGTGCGGGACAAACATACAGACCCTCGTAGCAGTGTTCTGGAATCCTATGTGAGGGACAAATATTCAGACCACAGCAGGAGTGTTCTGGAATCCTATGTGAGGGACAATAAATCAGATGCTCGTAGCAGTGTTCTGGAATCCTATGTGAGGGACAATTTTCAGACCCTCATAGCAGTGTTCTGGAATCCTATGTGAGGGACAAACACTCAGAACCCAGGAGTAGTATTCTGGAATCCCATGTTAGGGACAATCATTCAGACCACAGCTGAGTTGTTCTTTAATCCTACGTGTGGGACAAGCATTCAGACCCTCATAGCAGTGTTCTGGAGTCCTATGTGCGGGAGAAACATTCAGACCCTTGTAGGAGTCTTCAGGAATCCTATGTGAGGGACATACATTTAGACCCACGTAGCAGGGTTCTGGAATCGTACTTGAGGGACAAACAGTCAGAACCCAACATCAGTGTTCTGGAATCTTAAGTGAGGGACAAACATTCAGACCATAACAGGAGTGTTCTGGAATCCTATGTGAGGGAGAATAATTCAGACCCTCGTAGCAGTGTTCAGGAATCCTATTTGAAGGAGAAACACTCAGATCACAGCAGGATTCTTCTGGAATCCCATGTGAGGCAAAAACCCACAGACCACAGCAGGAGTGTTCTGGAATCCTTTGGGTGGGTCAACCATTCAGACCACAGCAGTAGTGTTCTGGAATCTTATGTGAGGGACAAACATTCAGACTTTCGTAGCAGTGTTCTGGAATCCTATGCGAGGGAGAAACACTCAGAACCCAGCAGCAGTGTTTTGGATTCCTATGTGAGGGTCAAATAGACCACAGCAGTAGTGTTCTGGAATCCTTTGTGAGGAACAAACATTCAGACCCTCGTAGCAGTGTTTTGGAATCCTATGTGAGGGAAAAACACTCAGAACCCAGCAGCAGTGTTCAGGAATCCTATGTTAGGGACAGTCATTCAGACCACAGCTGGGGTGTTCCGGAATCCTACGTGTGGGACAAGCATTCAGACCCTCGTAGCATTGTTCTGGAATCCTATGTTAGTAAAATGCATTCAGAACACAGCAGGAGTGTTCTGGAGTCCTATGTGTGGGACAAATCTTCAGACCCTCGTAGCCGTGTTCTGGAATCCTATGTGAGGGAGAATAATACAGACCGTCGTAGCAGGGCTCTGGAATCCTATTTGAGGGACAAACACTCAGATGACAGCATGACTGTTCTGGAATCCCATGTGAGACACAAACATCCATACCACAGCAGGAGTGTTCTGGAATCCTATGTGAGGTTCAACCATTCAGACCACAGCATTGGTGTTCTGGAAATGCTATGTGAAGCAGAAACATTCAGACCCTCGTAGCAGTGCTCAGGAATCTTATGTGAGGGACAAACATTCAGACCCTCTTAGCAGTGTTCTGGAATCCTATGCGAGGGGGAAACACTAATAACCCAGCAGCTGTGTTTTGGAATCCTATGTGAGGATCAAATATTCAGACCACAGCAGTAGTGTTCTGGAATCCTTTGTAAGGGACAAACATTCAGACCCTCGTAGCAGTGTTTTGGAATCCTATGTGAGGGAAAAACACTCAGAACCCAGCAGCAGTTTTCAGGAATCCTATGTTAGGGACAGTCATTCAGACCACAGCTGGGGTGTTCCGGAATCCTAAGTGTGGGAAAAACATTCAGGCCCTTCTAGCATTGTTTTGGAATCCTATGTGAGGGAGAATAATACAGACCTTCATAGCAGTGTTCTGGAATCCTATTTGAGGGACAAACACTCAGAT
Source organism: Homo sapiens (assembly GCF_000001405.40). NCBI lineage: Eukaryota > Metazoa > Chordata > Mammalia > Primates > Hominidae > Homo > Homo sapiens. The sequence goes on from NW_021160023.1 coordinate 80,344, forward strand.
GACAGCATGATTGTTCTGGAATCCTATGTGAGAGACAACCATTCAGACCACAGCAGTATTGTATTGGAATCCTAAGTGAGGGAGAAACATCCAGACCACAGCAGGAGTGTTCTGGAATCCTATGTCAAGGAGAAAAATACAGACCCTCGTAGCCGTGTTCTGTAATCCTATGTGAGGGACAAACACTCATATCCCAGCAGCAGTGTTCTGGAATCTTATGTGAGGGACAGACATTCAGACCCTCGTAGAAGTGTTCTGGAATCCTACGTGAGAGACAAAGAATCAGAACCCAGCTGCAGAGTTCTGGAATCTTATGTGAGGGACAAACATTCAGACAAGAGCGGGATTGTTCTGGAATTAAATGGGTTGGACAAACATTCTGACCCTCGTAGCAGTGTTCTGGAATCCTATGTGAGGGAAAAACTCTCAGAACCCAGCAGTAGTGTTATGGAACACTATGTGAGGGAGAAACATTCAGAAGACAGCAGGGGTGTTCTGGAATCCCATGTGATGGAGAATAATTCAGAACCTCGTAGCAGTCTTTTGGAATCCTATGTGAGGGAGAAAATCTCAAAACACAGCAGCAGTGTTCTGGAATCCTATGAGAGGGACAATCATTCAGACCACAGCGGGGGTGTTCTGGAATCCTATGTGTGGGACAAGCATTCAGAAACTCGTAGCATTGTTCTGGAATCCTATGTCAGGAAAATACATTCAGAACACATCAGGAGTCTTCTGGAGTACTTTGTGAGGGACAAACATTCAGACTCTCGTAGCCGTGTTCTGGAATCCTATCAGAGAGAATAATTCAGACCCTCCTAACAGGATTCTGGAATCCTTTTTGAGGGACAAACACTCAGACCACAGCATAAATGTTTTGGAATCTTATGTGAAGTAGAAACATTAAGACCACAGGAGGATTGTTCTGGAATCCCATGTGAGGCACAAACACCCAGACCACAGCAGAAATGTTCTGGAATCCTGTGTGAGGGTCAACCATTCAGATCACAGCAGTAGTGTTCTGGAATCCTTTGTGAAGGACAAATATTCAGACAAGAGCAGGAGTGTTCTGGAATCCTATGTGAGGGAAAATAATTCAGACCCTTGTACATTTGTTCTGGAATCCTATGTGAGAGACAAACACTCAGAACCCAGCAACAGTGTTCTGGAATCTTAGGTTTGGGACAAACATTCAGACCACAGCAGGAGTGTTCTCGAATCTCATGTGAGGAACAAACATTCAGACCCTCATAGCAGTGTTCTGGAATCATCTCTGAGGGACAAACAAATCAAGCAGCAGTGTTCTGGAATCCTATCTGAGGGACAAACATGCAGACCACAGCTGGGGTGTTCTGGAATCCTAAGGGTAGGACAAGCATCCAGACCCTCGTCGCATTGTTCTGGAGTCCTATGTGAGGAAAATACATTGAGAGCACGGCAGGAGTGTTTTGAAGTCCTATGTGAGGGATAAATATTCAGACCCTCATAGCGGTGTTCTAGAGTCCTATGTGTGGGACAAACATTTAGACCCACGTAGCAGTGTTTTGGAATCATACGTGAGGCACGGACACTCAGAACCCAACGGCAGTGTTCTGGAATCCTAATTGAGGGACAAACATTCAGACCACAGCAGGCGTATTCTGGAAAGCTATGTGAGGGAGAATAATTCAGACCCTCGTAACAGTGTTCTGGAATCCTATGTGAGGAACAAACATTCATACCCCAATGGTAGTGTTATGGAGTCCTATTTGAGGGACAAACACTCAGACCACATCAGGAATGTTTTGGAATCCTATGTGAGTGAGAAACATTCAGACCACAGCAGGATTGTTCTGGAATCCCATGCGAAGCACAAACACCCAGACCACAGCAGTAGTGTTCTGGAATCATATGTGAGGGTCAACCACTCAGACCACAGCAGTAGGGTTCTGGAATCCTATGGAAGGGATAAACATTCAGAACCTCGTAGCAGTGCTCTGGAATGTTACGTGAGGGACAAACATTCAGACCGCCTTAGCAGTGCTCTGGAATCCTATTTGAGGGAGAAAACTCAGACCACAGCAGGAGTGTTCTGGAGTCCTATGTGAGGGAAAAACATTCAAACCACAGCAGGATTGTTCTGGAATTCCATGTGTGGCGCAAACCCCCACACCACAGCAGGAGTGTTCTGGAATCCTATGTGAGGACAATCATTCAGACCACAGCTGGGATGTTCTGGAATCCTACGTGTGGGGCAAGCATGCAAACCCTCATAGCATTGTTCTGGAATCCTATGTGAGGAAAATACATTCAGAACACCGCTGGAGTGTTCTGGACTCCTTTGTGTGGGACAAACATTCAGACCATTCATAGCAGTGTTCAGAAATCCTATGTGAGGGACAAACTTTCAGACTCTCGTAGCAGTGTTCTGGAATCTTATGTGAGGGAAAAACATTAAGACCCTCTTAGAAGTGTCCTGGAATCCTATGTGAGGGAAAAACACTCAAAACCCAGCAGCAGTGTTGTGGAATCCCATATGAGGGACAAACATTCAGACCGGGGCAGGAGTGTTCTGGAATCCTATGTGAGGTATAATCATTCAGACCGTCAAGGCAGTGTTCTGGAATCCTATGTGAAGGAGAAACAGTCAGAACCCAGCAGCAGTGTTCTGGAATCCTATATGAGGGACAAACATCAGACCCTCATATCAGTGTTCTGGAATCCTAAGTGAAGAACAAACAATCAGAACCCAGCAGCAGTGTTCTGGAATCCTTTGTCAGGGAAAAACATTCAGATCACAGAAGGAGTGTTCTGGAATCCTATGTGAGGGACACACATTCAGAACACAGCATCATTGTTCTGGAATACTATGTGAGGGACAAACTTTCAGACCACTGCAGGAGTGTTCTGGAATCCGATGTGAGGGACAAACTTTCAGACCCCAGAAGAAGTGTTCTGGAATCGTATTTGAAGCACAATCATTTAGACCCACGTAGCAGTGTTCTGGAATCTTACATGAAGGAAAAACACTCAGAACACAACAGCAGTGTTGTGGAATCTTACATGAGGGAAAAACACTCAGAACACAACAGCAGTGTTCTGGTATCCTAGGGGAGGGACACACTTTCAGATCACAGCAGGAGTGTTCTGGAATCCTATGTGAAGGAGAATAATTCAGACCCTGGTAGCAGTGTTCTGGAATCCTATGTGAGGGACAAACTTTCAGACCCGAGTAGCAGTGTTCTGGAATCCTATTTGAGGAACAATCACTCAGATCACAGCAGGAATGTTTTGGAATCCTATGTGAGGGAGACACATTCAGACCACAGCAAGATTGTTCTGGAATCTCACCTGAGGAACAAACACCCAGACCACAGCAGGAGTGTTTTGGAATCCTATGTGAGGATCAGCCATTCAGACCACTGCAGCAGGGTTCTGGAATCTTATGTGAGGGACAAACATTCAGACCCTGTTAGCATTGTTCTGGAATCTTATGTGAGGGACAATAATGCGGACCCTCTTAGCAATGTTCTGGAATCCTATGTGAGGGACAAACATTCAGACCCCCGTAGGAGTGTTCTGGAATCCTATGTGAGAGACAAACACTCGGAATCCAGCAGCAGTGTTCTGGAATCTTATGTGAGGGACAAACATTCAGACTACAACAGGAGTGTTCTGGACTCCTATGTAAGGGACAAACATTCAGACCCCAGCAGCAGTGTTCTGGAATCCTATGTGAGGGACAAATATTTAGACCCAAGTAGCAGTGTTCTGGAATCATACGTGAGGGACAAACACTCAGAACCCCACAGTACTGTTCTGGAATCCTAAGTGAGGGACAAACATTCAGACCACAGCAGGAGTGTTCTGGAATCCTATGTGAGGGACAAACATTCAGACCACAGCGGCAGTGTTCTGGAATCCTATGTGAGGGACAAACAATCAGACCACAGCAGCAGTGTTCTGGAATCTTATGTGAGGGACTCACATTCAGAACCTCGTAGCAGTGTTTTGGAATCCTATGTGAGGGACAAACATTGAGACACTCTTAGCAGTGTTCTGGAATCCTATGTGAGGGACAAACATTCAGACCCAGCAGCAGTGTTCTGGAATCCTATGTGAGGGAGAAACAATCAGACCCTCGTAACAGTGTCCTGAAATCCTAAGGCAGGTACAAACCCTCAGAACCCAGCAGCAGTGTTCTGGAATCCTATGTTAGGGACTCACATTCAGAATTTCCTACCAGTGCTCTGGAATCCTCTGTGAGGGACAGCCTTTCATACTACAGAAGCAGTGTTCTGGAATTGTATTTGAGGAATAAACATTCACAGTACAGCAGGAGTTTTCTGGTATCCTAAGTAAGGGACAAACATTCAGACCCACTTAGCAGTGTTGTGAAATCCTATGTCAAGGACAAACATTCAGACCCCAGCAGCAGTGCTCTGGAATGCCATGTGAGGGACAAACATTCGGACCACAGCAGGAGTGTTCAGGAATCCTATGTGAGGTACAAACATTCAGATTACATCAGGAGTATTCTGGAATCCTATATGAGGGGCAAACATTCAGACCACAGCATCAGCGTTCTGGAATCCAATGTGAGGGACAAACTTTCCGACCACAGCAGGAGTGTTTTGGAGTCCTATGTGAGGGACTGATATTCAGACCCCCGAAGCTCTGTTCTGGAATCCAAAGTGAGGGAGAAACACTCAGAACCCAGCAGCAGTGTTCTATAATCCTAGGTGACAGAGAAACATTTAGACCCTCCTGGCAATGTTCTGGAATCCTATGTGAGAGACACACATTCAGAACACAGCAGGAGTGTTCTTGAATCCTAAATGAGGGACAAACAAGCAGAACTCAGCAGCAGTGTTCTGGAATTCTATGTGAGGGACAAACATAAAGACCACATCAGGAGAGTTCTGGAATCCTATGTGCCCAAAAACATTCAGATCCCAGCAGCAGTGCTCTTCGATCCTATGTGAGGGAAAACATTCAGACCCTCGTAGCAGTGTTCTTAAATGCTATGTGAGGGACAAACATTCAGAACCTCTTAGCAGTGTTCTGGAATCCTATCTGAGGGACAAACATTTAGACCCAAGTAGCTGTGCTCTGGAATCTTACGTTAAGTACAAACACTCAGAAACCAACAGCAGTGTTCTGGAATCCTAAGTGAGGGACAAACTTTCAGACCACAGCACGAGTGTTCTGGAATCCTGAGTGAGAGACAAACATTCGGAACACAGCAGGAGTGTTCTGGAATGCTATGTCAGGGAGAATAATTCAGACCCTCGTAGCAGTGTTCTGGAATCCTATGTGAGGGACAAACATTCAGACTCCAGTAGCAGTGTTTTGGAATCCTATTTGAGGGAGAAACACTCAGACCAGAGAAGAAATGTTTTGGAATCCTATCTGAGGGGGAAACATTCAGAACACAGCAGGATAGATCTGGAAACCCTTGTGAGGCACAAACACCCAGATGACAGGAGGAATGTTCTGGAATCCTATATAAGGGTCAAGTATTCAGACCACAGCAGTAGTGTTCTGGAATCCTATATGAGGGACAAACATTCAGACCCTCGTAGCAGTGTTCTGGAATCCTATGTAAAAGACAAACACTCAGAAACCAGGAGCAGTGTTCTGTAATCCTTTGTGAGGGAGAAACTTTCAGACCACAGAAGGAGTGTTCTGGAATCCTAAGTGAGGGACAAACATTCAGACCAAAGCAGCAGTGTTCTGGACTCCTATGTGAGGGACAAACATTTAGGCCCACGTAGCAGTGTTCTGGAATCCTATGTGAGGGACAAATACTCAGAACCCAGAAGCTGTGTTCTGGAATCCTATCTGAGGGACAAACATTCAGAGCAGAGCAGGAATGTTCTGGAGTCCTATGTGCGGGACAAACTTTCAATCCCTCATAGCAGTGTTCTGGAATCCTATGTGATGGACAAACATTTACAACCATGAGGCAGTGTTCTGGAGTCATACGTGAGGGACAAACACTCAGATCCCAAACTCAGTGTTCTGGAATCCCATCTGAGGGACAAACATTCAGACCAGAGCAGGAGTGTTCCGTAATCCTATGTGAGGTACAATCATTCAGACCCTCGTAGCAGTGTTCTGCAGTCCTATGTGAGGGACAAACACTCAGAACCCAGCAGCATTGTTCTGGAATCTTATATGAGGGACCATCATTCAGACCACAGCTGGCATCTCCTGGAATCCTAAGTGTGGGACAAGCATTCAGATTCTCGTAGCACTGTTCTGGATTCCTAGGTTAGGAAAATACATTCAGAACACAGCAGGAGTGTTCTGGAGTCCTATGTGCGGGACAAACATTGAGACCCTCGTAGCACTGTTGTGGAATCCTATGTAAGGGAGAAACACTCAGAACCCAGCAGCAGTGTTCTGGAATCCTATGTGAGGGACAATCATTCAGACCACAGCTGGAGTGTTCTGGAATCCTACTTGTGGGACAAGCATTCAGACCCTCGTAGCATTGTTCTGTAATCCTATGTTAGGAAATCACATTCAGAACACAGCAGGAGTGTTCTGGAGTCCTACGTGAGGGACAAAGATTCAGACCCTCATAACAGTGTTCTGGAATCTTATGTGAGGTACAAACATTCAGACCCACCTAGCAGTGTTCTGGAATTGTATGTGAGGGACAAACACTCAGAACCCAGCAGCAGTGTTCTGGAATCTTGTCTGACGGACAAACATTCAGACTAGGGGAGGAGTGCTCTAGAACCCTGTGTGAGGTACAATCATTCAGACCACAGCAGGACTGTTCTGGAATCATATGTGAGGGGCAATCATTCAGACCACAGCTGATGTGTTCTGGAATCCTACGTGTGGGACAGGCATTCAGACCCTCGTAGCATTGTTCTGGAATCCTATGTTAAGAAAATACAAATGTAAGGCTGAAAGCTGTAAAACTCCTACACAAAAATATAAGGGAAAAATATGCAACGTTATGCCATTGAATTTGGCAGTGGGTTCTTGACTGCCAGCTGCCCCACATCCCTGGAGCATCCATCTGCTCACCGCTGCCGGGTGCTGGGTCCTTCCACACCTGTCGCGCTACTTTGTGAGGGGCTCTGAGGGGCACCAACCAGGACCCCACGCTGAGCACAGGGCACAGGCCGGGCATTGTCAGGATATTCGCTGGCAGGCTGTCCCCATGCCCGCCTCAGACGCCAGGAGGAAGGGCGGCCTGATCCGAGTCTGCGGAAGGAGGAAGAAGCACGTTTCCTGAGCCAACAGGGACACAGAGGCGAATGCCATAAAATTATATGGCATATATTTTGAAACATGGCCGCAATTTGAATAATTAGAATATCTAAAAACTCCAAAGATTATTATGCTGAAACGGCACCAAAAATTATCATTCCAGTGACTACAGGGAATTTTTAATAGTTGCTATTTTTATAATAAAATTAAACTTTAATGAAATAACTGACTTTCAAACTTCAGCAAGAGGACAAATATTCAGCCAGAGATATCAGTTCCCAGTTTCTGCTCCGGGTCTTCTCTGGTCTTCCACAGCCCCTCCTGCATCACCCAGGGCTAAAGGGCCACCTGGCCTGGCCTGAATCCCCTCGTCCCTCCGCTTCCCCACTCAGCTCCTTTAACCCCCCCTGGGGCAGGGGCAGCAAACTGTCCAGAGCTGGAGGCTCCCTCGACCAGGGCAGCACCGCTCCGCCCCTCTCCGCACCTGCCCAGCCCCTGGCAAAGGACGTGCCTGGGCCTGGCCCACTGCACGTCCCCCAACGCCTGCCCTGTGCCTGCAACGGCGACGCTGCCAACAAGAGGTGCCAGAGGCTGAGGCGCAACCCCCCAGAGCGCAGGGTTCCCACTCACCTGGGAGTAGGGATAGGCCCCTCCTGGTAGGTTGCACTGTTAAGATTATTTCCTTATTTATTTTACTTAAAACTGGTAGAATGTTACTATTATATGACGTACCCATGATTCTGCCAGTAAATTTGGGCATACGTTTATTAGTTTTTGTTAGATTAACTAGTTCTTTTGTTTCTGTTATTAAGGTGAAATTTAAATTCTATCTGAAATCAGTAAGATACAGAGAGATTTTAATGAGAAGTGAGTATTTTTTTCTAAAGGGGAACTGATATCTCTGGCTGAATATGTGTCTTCTTGCTGAAGTTTGTAAGTCAGTTATTTTATTAAAGTTTAATTTTACTATAAAAATAACAACTATTAAAAATTCCCTGTCATCATTGGAAGGATAAATTTTGGTGCAGTGTCAGTATAACAATATTTCGAATTTTTAAATGTTCTAATTATTCAAATTGTGGTCATGCTTTAAAAATATATGCCATAGAAGTTATGTTATTTTAAAATACCATTCTTTATTATGGGAAGAAGCAGTAAATTCACCTTAACCGTAGCAGACTCTAGAGCTGACTAAAACACCCTTTAGAGGTTAAATTGTAATGAGGTAGACCATCAATGCAAAAAACAGTTTTTTTAGTTGTTCCGCTACCTGTGCAAAACTTATTAGAAGAATGTTCAGAAATTAAAATCTGTGTTTGTTAAGACTTGTTTCTGCTGGGGGTTTTAGAATGTAATAAAAGCTATAAATAAAATTCTAAGCCCCGTATCAACTGAACATACTTCCTCTTGAGCAAGAAGACCCCAGAAAAAAACTTAAAAACTGAATTTCTGGCTATGACAGCAAGAGAGGTGTTATGTACAGGAGATGCTCCAGGGAAGAAGAAAACACACACACACAATACCTTTAAAGGTCAACAAACTCGATCCCACATAAATGGCAATGCAGATATAATAAGCAAATGATAGAATAAGCAAATTGATACAATAAGCAAATTGCAGTGGGAAGGGGAGAAGGAAAAAAATGTGTGTGTATATATATATATGAGGATAGACTATGGAGGATTCATCACCAGACCGAGAAGCAACAGCCTGGGCTCCAGAGTCAGCCACTCATCCATGCACAAAGGAACACAAAAAGGTCAATTTGCTTTTGCCGTTGTCTGTTGTTTTTCAATAACTAAAGTATAGGAATAGATTGAAATAGAGATTTCTCTGAAACAGTGCTGGATGAATGCCTCAAGGGGCTCACAAAACCTATTCCGAGACTTGGTGACCATTATTTGTGTCCATGTTCAATTGAGTTTAAATATATTATTTAACTTTTTCTGCGTATTCTGTCCCAATTGATACTCAAATGTAAGAAAATACGCTTACAGATATACGAGGAATACATAATTGGTAGAGGTTACAGAAGCAGGGTAAGCAGAGGAGAATTAAAACACAGTTAATAAAAACCGCACCCACCAAGGCCAACGCCAATGCCAGTTGGACAGCCAATTCATGATGGGGTCCTGACAGTTAGATTTTGTTTTGCTTGTCCTTGCATGTCTTGGGCGAGGAGAGTAATATTGTGAGAACTGTCAGGGATACACACACAAAATTCAGTATGCAGCAAGGCTGAAACGCTCTTTGGGCTGCGGTAAGCATACCTAATGCCATTTGATTTTGCAACACAACAGTACACAACTGAGCAAATTCCTCTGATAACAACATAAGTCCAGTGCTACTACCATTAAGAGCTTTTTCTACATGTAAGCTTAATATTTAAATTTTTTGCTGAAACAGAATTGTATCAGTGGCAGAGGAGAACACTGTTATAGGGTACACCCCATCAGGGATTCTGGCGCATTTGTAACCAGTGATGTTTGGAAGCATCTAGATTTAGGAAAGAGGTTGTGTTTCATTGGGGACAATGCTGTTGATTTGGAGTATGTGTTGACAATTGTCTGGTGGGAGAAACCCCAGAGTAACATTAAAAGAGCCATTTAAGGCCTCCAGACAAAGCGGGGGTGCGGTGCCATATGGAGTTCAGCTACCGGTATGGTAGGTTCCCTGTATATGTCTTTCCAAGTATATTGGGTAGGATACAAAGGCCTTTGATGCATTGCAAAAGTGGATTTCTCCTTTTGTCAGACTTGGGCAAAAATAGACTCTTTGATTTGGTTAAAAGAAGTCCAGGTGGGATTACAGGTGCTATTCTCCTGACCCCCTTGGTAGTGATGTAACCACTTGGAAATGTTGGCAGAGACAATTTTTTAAGGGAGCCCATTCCCTGCAGCCTGTGGCAATTCGACTAAAAGGCAGCTCTAACTGCAGTTGACTTCTTTTGCAGCGGTGGCTACCCAGTTGCTAAATGCATTCTTGGCCTCAGACACAAAGAAGCAGGTGCTGACCATCATTCGATAGGCTATTCCTTTTAATAACAAAAACAGAGGGGAACATAACATTGTTTTTAAAATTTTACTACTCCCCTCATTTTCTGCCCCCATACTGTGGCCCCAGGATTTAAGCTGCCCACTTTGGTGGACCCATATCCTCCAGTTCTATATGATGTTCCTATTGGGGCAGAAATTTCCTCGGGGGTTAATTGGTGACACGGTACTACCAGTAGCTGAGCAATCTGCATCTGCGGCTTTATGGCAAAAGAATTTTCGGTGGTATTGTGTTAAAAGATTTTTAACTCTCACCGGTAATCACTATCAATTACACCACCATACACTATAATGCCTCTCATTCCAATGCTTGCACGTGTTGTAATCCGTTCATCCACATTTGAGTTTGCAGTTATGGTGGAAATTTTGGCCTGTTGACCTGCCTGCTGATTAATTAGTCTGCCAAGAGAAAGCAGAGATGCATGAGCATCAACATAACAGTGTTAATGGTAGGGTGCACAGGGATTCAGATATCTTCCCTGTATTCTTTCCCCAAACCTTTTTATTCCCAATTAACCATTTGCCTCATTGCCATTGAGGCATCTAGATAGTAAGACCATTTGCTACTGACCAAGAGTTGGTATACAAGTGTCAAATCCCTCTGGCCTTCTTCTGAATAGCTGGGAAGATGGCTACTAGCTCAGCCAGCTGGCTGCTCCCATCCCTTCCTTCATCAGAAATACTTATGTTTTTAACAGGATTATAAGCCACGGCCTCCCCGCATCGGGTCCCACCAATGTATTTGGCAGATCCATCAGTAAACCAAGCATGTTTCTGATGCTTTGGATGAGGCAGGTCTCTTTCCCTGCCTGCAGGACTTGTTCGGTGGCTTTCTGAGTTGGCAAATTTTTTAAAAATGATACCCCCTTTGGTCCTGGCTTTGCCCTATCTTGTATATACCATTCCATTATGTGATGCTACTTTCTTCAGCATGCCCTATTCGATGGGTTTTGGTGGACCTCATGACCCAAGTCATAATAGGAATTTCAGGCCTTATGAAGACATCATGGTTGAAGCAGAGAGTCTCCATTTCCAGCAAAGCCCGATAGCAAGCTAACAGTCGCTTCTCAAAAGGATTATAAGCTTCGCCAGCCTCTGGCAGCTTCCAGGTTTGAAACCCCAAGAGTCCCCTCTTCCCATCTTGTTTCTGCCAAAGGCTCCAATTAGCATGTTAATCCAGGACAGTTATTTGCAATTCTACTGTCCCATCCCATATGGGCCATCCAGGGCCAGATGCACTGCTTGCTTAGCTTGCTCAAAGGCTGTGTTCTCTTTCTACCTCCAGTGAAAGTCATTATATTTTCTAGTGACTGCATACAGAGGTTGTGAGATGTTACCCAAACCGGGAAGATGTCTCCAGAATTCAAACAAGCCAATACATTTCTGGGCCTCCTTTTTAGTGGTAGGGGTTGCAAATTCTAGTATTTTAACCATAGCCTTTGGTAAAATGGACTTTTTCCTTGCGTTCCATGGGATGCAAAGCAATTTTATAGTTTGTGCAGGTTCTTGAAATTTGTAAAGGCTAATTTCCCATTCTTCAGATAGGAACTGGGTTTTTACCCACACCAAGCCCCAGCTGACTCGTTCTTCAGTTTTACCCTGACCACACCACTTGCACAGCTGTTTTTCTCATCAATAATCTGTTAGCTTTGAGCCTGATCAGTCAAGACATAGGCCTGAAATTGAGCCAGGGCCAGTCTGGAAGTCAGAGTAGTGTTTTCTTTTTCCAGCTTACATTTATCTTGTAGCAATTGATTTCTATCTCAACACATTAACTTATAAGCAGTAAGCAAGCACCATCTATGCTAAGAGATCCCCCTGGCATCTCCTTTGCTGACTGAAATCCCCTGCAGCACTTCATGCACAGTCAAAGGTTCAAATTCCACTAATTTAGATACCCAATTTTCACTAAGGTCAGTTCCCCCCGACCATTCAATTGCCAAGAGGGAGAACTGGAGGAGTTTCTATCCTGGAATATGGGAAGTCCCTGAGCTTCCAGCGGTGATCTTGAAGCTGAAAAGTGAATCCTCCATAGTCTGGTGGGTGTAGTAGCCAACTCTGGAGCCTAGGCTGTTGCTTCCCCATCTGGCCATGAATGCTGTATAGTCTGGTGAGTACATATACATAGATATAGATATAGATAGATAGATACATACATACATATATATAGATAGATAAAAATATAGATATAGATATAGATATCTGCAATACCATTTACATGGGATAAAAAAGTTGTTTACCCTTAAAGGTATTGTGTGTGTGTCTTTTCTTCTCCCATCAGCATCTCCCACACAGAACAGGAGGAGACAGACAGGCCTTGTTACACACCTGTTTGCTGTTGTACCTCTGTTTGCTCTTTAGGTACAACAAATCATCAGCACTAATGTTAAAATAGAGATCATAAGACTGACAAAACTGACTCTGTGGCAATATAATACCAAATTATTGTCACAATTTAAGGCAGTGCAAGGCAAGTGTTAAGCCATGCATGCAGGTCAGCAATCTTGCTACATAGCATCCCTATCTCCACTTAAGAGTTAAAACTTTTATATCAGCTGACTCCAAGTTTTAGATAGAACATTACCCCTTTAACAGTGAAGCAAGAGAGAGGAGCCAAGATGGCCGAATAGGAACAGCTCCGGTCTACAGCTCCCAGCCTGAGGGAAGCAGAAGATGGGTGATTTCTGCATTTCCATCTGAGGTACCCGGTTCATCTCACTAGGGAGTGCCAGACAGTGGGCCCAGGCCAGTGGGTGCGCGCACCGTGCGCGAGCCGAAGCAGGGCGAGGCATTGCCTCACTTGGGAAGTGCAAGGAGTCAGGGAGTTCCCTTTCCAAGTCAAAGAAAGGGGTGACGGACGCACCTGGAAAATCGGGTCACTCCCACCCGAATATTGCGCTTTTCACACCGGCTTAAAAAACGGTGCACCACGAGATTATATCCCGCACCTGGCTCGGAGGGTCCTACGCCCACGGAATCTCACTGATTGCTAGCACAGCAGTCTGAGATCAAACTGCAAGGCGGCAGCGAGGCTGGGAGAGGGGCGCCCGCCATTGCCCAGGCTTGCTTAGGTAAACAAAGCAGCCGGGAAGCTCGAACTGGGTGGAGCCCACCACAGCTCAAGGAGGCCTGCCTGCCTCTGTAGGCTCCACCTCTGGGGGCAGGGCACAGACAAACAAAAAGACAGCAGTAACCTCTGCAGACTTAAATGTCCCTGTCTGACAGCTTTGAAGAGAGCAGTGGTTCTCCCAGCACGCAGCTGGAGATCTGAGAACCAGCAGACTGCCTCCTCAAGTGGGTCCCTGACCCCTGACCCCCGAGCAGCCTAACTGGGAGGCACCCCCCAGCAGGGGCACACTGACACCTCACACAGCAGGGTATTCCAACAGACCTGCAGCTGAGGGTCCTGTCTGTTAGAAGGAAAACTAACAAAGAGAAAGGACATCAACACCGAAAACCCATCTGTACATCACCATCATCAAAGACCAAAAGTAGATAAAACCACAAAGATGGGGAAAAAACAGAACAGAAAAACTGGAAACTCTACAACGCAGAGCGCCTCTCCTCCTCCAAAGGAACGCAGTTCCTCACCAGCAACGGAACAAAGCTGGATGGAGAATGACTTTGACGAGCTGAGAGAAGGCTTCACACGATCAAATTCCTCTGAGCTATGGGAGGACATTCAAACCAAAGGCAAAGAAGTTGAAAACTTTGAAAAAAATTTAGAAGAATGTATAACTAGAATAACCAATACAGAGAAGTGCTTAAAGGAGCTGATGGAGCTGAAAACTAAGGCTCGAGAACTACGTGAAGAATGCAGAAGACTCAGGAGCCGATGCAATCAAATGGAAGAAAGGGTATCAGCAATGGAAGATGAAATGAATGAAATGAAGCGAGAAGGGAAGTTTAGAGAAAAAAGAATAAAAAGAAATGAACAAAGCCTCCAAGAAATATGGGACTATGTGAAAAGGCCAAATCTACGTCTGATTGGTGTACCTGAAAGTGATGGGGAGAATGGAACCAAGTTGGAAAACACTCTGCAGGATATTATTCAGGAGAACTTCCACAATCTAGCAGGGCAGGCCAACGTTCAGATTCAGGAAATACAGAGAACGCCACAAAGATACTCCTCGAGAAGAGCAACTCCAAGACACATAATTGTCAGATTCACCAAAGTTGAAATGAAGGAAAAAATGTTAAGGGCAGCCAGAGAGAAAGGTCGGGTTACCCTCAAAGGGAAGCCCATCAGACTAATAGCGGATCTCTCGGCAGAAACCCTACAAGCCAGAAGAGAGTGGGGGCCAATATTCAACATTCTTAAAGAAAAGAATTTTCAACCCAGAATTTCATATCCAGCCAAACTAAGCTTCATAAGTGGAGAAATAAAATACTTCACAGACAAGCAAATGCTGAGAGATTTTGTCACCACCAGGCCTACCCTAAAAGAGCTCCTGAAGGAAGCACTAAACATGGAAAGGAACAACCAGTACCAGCCGCTGCAAAATCATGCCAAAATGTAAAGACCATCGAGAATAGGAAGAAACTGCATCAACTAACGAGCAAAATAACCAGCTAACATCATAATGACAGGATCAAATTCACACATAACAGTATTAACTTTAAATGTAAATGGACCAAATTCTCCAATTAAAAGACACAGACTGGCAAATTGGATAAAGAGTCAAGACCCATCAGTGTGCTGTATTCAGGAAACCCATCTCACGTGCAGAGACCCACATAGGCTCAAAATAAAGGGATGGAGGAAGATCTACGAAGCAAATGGAAAACAAAAAAAGGCAGGGGTTGCAATCCTCGTCTCTGATAAAACAAACTTTAAACCAACAAAGATCAAAAGAGACAAAGAAGGCCACTACATAATGGTAAAGGGATCAATGCAACAAGAAGAGCTAACTATCCTAAATATATATGCACCCAATACAGGAGCACCAAGATTCATAAAGCAAGTCCTGAGTGACCTACAAAGAGACTTAGACTCCCACACATTAATAATGGGAGACTTTAACACCCCACTGTCAACATTAGACAGATCAACGAGACAGAAAGTCAACAAAGATACCCAGGAATTGAACTCAGCTCTGCACCAAGTGGACCTAATAGACATCTACAGAACTCTCCACCCCAAATCAACAGAATATACATTTTTTTCAGCACCACACCACACCTATTCCAAAATTGACCACATAGTTGGAAGTAAAGCTCTCCTCAGCAAATGTAAAATAACAGAAATTGTAACAAACTATCTCTCAGACCACAGTGCAATTCAACTAGAACTCAGGATTAAGAATCTCACTCAAAACCGCTCAACTACATGGAAACTGAACAACCTGCTCCTGAATGACTACTGGGTACATAACGAAATGAAGGCAGAAATAAAGATGTTCTTTGAAACCAATGAGAACAAAGACACAACATACCAGAATCTCTGGGACGCATTCAAAGCAGTGTGTAGAGGGAAATTTATAGCACTAAATGCCCACAAGAGAAAGCAGGAAAGATCCAAAATTGACACCCTAACATCACAATTAAAAGAACTAGAAAAGCAAGAGCAAACACATTCAAAAGCTAGCAGAAGGCAAGAAATAACTAAAATCAGAGCAGAACTGAAGGAAATAGAGACACAAAAAACCCTTCAAAAAATCAATGAATCCAGGAGCTGGTTTTTTGAAAGGATCAACAAAATTGATAGACTGCTAGCAAGACTAATAAAGAAAAAAAGAGGGAAGAATCAAATAGACGCAATAAAAAATGATAAAGGCGATATCACCACCGATCCCACAGAAATACAAACTACCATCAGAGAATACTACAAACACCTCTACGCAAATAAACTAGAAAATCTAGAAGAAATGGATAAATTCCTCGACACATACACTCTCCTAAGACTAAACCAGGAAGAAGTTGAATCTCTGAATAGACCAATAACAGGATCTGAAATTGTGGCAATAATCAATAGTTTACCAACCAAAAAGAGTCCAGAACCAGATGGATTCACAGCTGAATTCTACCAGAGGTACAAGGAGGGACTAGTACCATTCCTTCTGAAACTATTCCAAACAATAGAAAAAGAGGGAATCCTCCCTAACTCATTTTGTGAGGCCAGCATCATTCTGATACCAAAGCTGGGCAGAGACACAACCAAAAAAGAGAATTATAGACCAATATCCTTGATGAACATTGATGCAAAAACCCTCAATAAAATACTGGCAAACCGAATCCAGCAGCACATCAAAAAGCTTATCCACCATGATCAAGTGGGCTTCATCCCTGGCATGCAAGGCTGGTTCAATATATGCAAATCAATAAATGTAATCCAGCATATAAACAGAGCCAAAGACAAAAACCACATGATTATCTCAATAGATGCAGAAAAAACCTTTGACAAAATTCAACAACCCTTCATGCTAAAAACTCTCAACAAATTAGGTATTGATGGGACGTATTTCAAAATAATAAGAGCTATCTATGACAAACCCACAGCCAATATCATACTGAATGGGCAAAAACTGGAAGCATTCCCTTTGAAAACTGGCACAAGACAGGGATGCCTTCTCTCACCACTCCTATTCAACACAGTGTTGGAAATTCTGGCCAGGGCAATTAGGCAGGAGAAGGAAATAAAGGGTATTCAATTAGGAAAATAGGAAGTCAAATTGTCCCTGTTTGCAGATGACATGATTGTATATCTAGAAAACCCCATTGTCTCAGCACAAAATCTCCTTAAGCTGATAAGCAACTTCAGCAAAGTCTCACGATACAAAATCAATGTACAAAAATCACAAGCATTCTTATACACCAACAACAGACAAACAGAGAGCCAAATCATGAGTGAACTCCCATTCACAATTGCTTCAAAGAGAATAAAATACCTAAGAATCCAACTTACAAGGGATGTGAAGGACCTCTTCAAGGAGAACTACAAACCACTGCTCAAGGAAATAAAAGAGGATACAAACAAATGGAAGAACATTCCATGCTCATGGGTAGGAAGAATCAATATCGTGAAAATGGCCATACTGCCCAAGGTAATTTACAGATTCAATGCCATCCCCATCAAGCTACCAAGGACTTTCTTCACAGAATTGGAAAAAACTACTTGAAAGTTCATATGGAACCAAAAAAGAGCCTGCATCGCCAAGTCAATCCTAAGCCAAAAGAACAAAGCTGGAGGCATCACACTATCTGACTTCAAACTATACTACAAGGTTACAGTAACCAAAACAGCATGGTACTGGTACCAAAACAGAGATATAGATCAATGGAACAGAACAGAGCCCTCAGAAATAATGCCGCATATCTACAACTATCTGATCTTTGACAAACCTGACAAAAACAAGCAATGGGGAAAGGATTCCCTATTTAATAAATGGTGCTGGGAAAACTGGCTAGCCATATGTAGAAAGCTGAAACTGGATCCCTTCCTTACACCTTATACAAAAATCAATTCAAGATGGATTAAAGAGTTAGACATTAGACCTAAAACCATAAAAACCCTAGAAGAAAACCTAGGCATTACCATTCAGGACATAGACATGGGCAAGGACTTCATGTCCAAAACACCAAAAGCAATGACAACAAAAGACAAAATTGACAAATGGGATCTAATTAAACTAAAGAGCTTCTGCACAGCAAAAGAAACTACCATCAGAGTGAACAGGCAACCTACAAAATGGGAGAAAATTTTCACAACCTACTCATCTGACAAAGGGCTAATATCCAGAATCTACAATGAACTCAAACAAATTTACAAGAAAAAACAAACAACCCCATCAAAAAGTGGGCAAAGGACATGAACAGACACTTCTCAAAAGAAGACATTTATGCAGCCAAAAAACACATGAAAAAATGCTCATCATCGCTGGCCATCAGAGAAATGCAAATCAAAACCACAATGAGATACCATCTCACATCAGTTACAATGGCAATCATTAAAAAGTCAGGAAACAACAGGTGCTGGAGAGGATGTGGAGAAATAGGAACACTTTTATACTGTTGGTGGGACTGTAAACTAGTTCAACCATTGTGGAAGTCAGTGTGGCGATTCCTCAGGGATCTAGAACTAGAAATACCATTTGACCCAGCCATCCCATTACTGGGCATATACCCAAAGGACTATAAATCATGCTGCTATAAAGACACATGCACACGTATGTTTATTGTGGCATTATTCACAATAGCAAAGACTTGGAACCAACCCAAATGTCCAACAATGATAGACTGGATTAAGAAAACGTGGCACATATACACCATGGAATACTATGCAGCCATAAAAAATGATGAGTTCATGTCCTTTGTAGGGACATGGATGAAATTGGAAATCATCATTCTCAGTAAACTACCGCAAGAACAAAAAACCAAACACTGCATATTCTCACTCATAGGTGGGAATTGAACAATGAGATCCCATGGACACAGGAAGGGGAATATCACACTCTGGGGACTGTTGTGGGGTGGGGGGAGGGGGGAGGGATAGCATTGGGAAATACAACTAATGCTAGACGACGAGTTAGTGAGTGCAGCACACCAGCATGGCACATGTATACATATGTAACTAACCTGCACAATGTGCACATGTACCCTAAAACTTAAAGTATAATTTAAAAAAATAAAAAAAATAAAAAAATAAAAAATAAAACAACTGCCCATTTTACCATCTCTTCAGTCCTTGACAAGCACCATTCTAACTTTTTTTTCCTATGAGTTTATCTACTTAAGATACCTGATTATGAATGGAATCATAGACTGTCACTTTGTTCCTGGCTTATTTCAATTAACATGATCTTCTCCAGAATTATCATATAATGTGTCTTTTTAAAGACTGAATAATATTCGACTTTGTGTATGTGCCACTTGTTATTAATCTGTTCATTGGTCAAGGGACATCTGGATTGTTTCTGCCTTTTGGCTTGTGTTAATAATATTGCAATAAATTTGGTTGTGCAAATATCTCTTCCAGATCTGCGTTGTACATTTTAAGTACATAGCCAGAAGGGGGTTTGCTGGATTATATAATAATCTCATTTTAAATTTTTTGAAGAGCTGTCATACTATTTTAAATATCGGCTTGAGGCCGTAGATTATTGTGACTTTGCTTTGCATTTTTCTAGAAGAGTGATGTCGAGTATCCTTTTATTTTTTATTTTTTTAATTTCATAAACATTTATTCACAGCCCCTTTAAAAGTATAGCAGTGAAGTAAAACCCCAATTAAACTACTGCCCATTAACTTGTTACTTAAAATTTAGACTTAAAAACCAATAGACTTTTTTTTTAGTTTGTATGCAATTACTTTTATAAACACAGTTTAGGTTGGAATAAGGAAGTCCTAATTCATCATGTTGGAGCTTGCCCTCACTGCTGCAGGCTGTTGAAGTGAGCCTCCTTCAAGGTCTGGTTGATATGGGAGTAAAGACCTTGGCATGGTACATACCCCTCATGCAAGAACTGGGGAAAGTTTGCATTGGGTTCAGTAACAATCTGGTTTAAGTTGCTTTCTGGTCCACCTGCTCTCTCTGGGATATTAAGGCGGCTGCTGCTCCTTTCATTATCACTCCATGAAAACTGTGTCTTGAGAATCCTGAAAGATAGGGTTTCTCTTATTCCTTTTGGGCTGGGTGGAATGATGGTTGCCCTCTTTACTGCCATTTCTTCTTATTTTCCGTACAGGGCAGCCTCCCATAGTCCTGCCCTCGGACGAGTATCCTTTTAAATACCTAGTCATTTCTATGTCTTCTTTGGAGAAAGGTCATTTCAAACATTTACCATTCTAAATCAAGTTATTAACATTTTGTTGTTGTTGAATTTTAGAAGTTTATATCTTTTGGAAATTAACACCTACGAAATATGTGATTAGAAAATATTTTTACACTTTTTTGTTATATGTATGTATGTATGCACATATATTACCCTATACAAGACAGGGTCTTGATATATTTTCATGGCTAGTCTCAAACTTTTGGCCTCAAATGATCGTTCTGACTTGGCCTCCTAAATTTCTAGAATTATAGGCATGAGCCAGCATGCCCAGGTTTCACCCACTTATTAGGTGACATTTGTATGCCACTAAATTTTTCCTTGATGTGTAGAATACTTGAAGGTTAATGTAGTTCCTTTCTTTTTTGTTCTTTTCCTTGTTTCTTATGAATTTGATGTCATACTTAAGCAAAGTTTTAAGACTTATGTCATAAACTTTTCCCCTATGTTTACTTCTAAGAATTTTATTAGTTTTTATGTTTAAGCATTAAATCCATTATAAAACAACTTTTCTTTTTATGTATAATACAAAAGAAGCATCCAACTTTATTTTTGCTCTGTAAACATTCAATTTTGAAAATTCTTTGTTAAAGAGATTCTTATTTTTCTATTGCATGGTCATGGAAAGCATATGGAAGATTATTTTATCACGTATGCGAGGGTTTATTTCCAGGATGTCTATTCTGTTTCATCATCTATGTATCCGTTTTTGTGGCAATACCATATTGTTTTTATTTTTGTAGCTTTGTATCATGATTTTAAATCAGAAAATGTAATAACTCTTTGTCCTTTTTAAAGGGTGTTTGCCTAGTCACAGTTCCTAAACAACTTTTAGAATTATACACAAAAATTCTGCAAAAAAAATACCATTGGGATTTAGATGAAAATTACATTACATTTTTATATCATCATGGGTAATACTGACAACTTTTTTTTTTTCCTTTGGAGATGGAGTTTTAGTGAGTCACTCAGGCTGAAGGGCAGTGGTGTGAGCTGTGCTCACTGCAAGCTCTGCTTCCCATGTTCAAGCAATTCTCCAGTCTCAGCCACCAGAGTAGCTGGGATTACAGTCATGCACCAACATGTATAGCTAACTTTTGTATTTTTAGTAGAGATAGGGTTTTGCCATGTTGGCCAGGCTAGTCTCAAACTTCTGATCTCAAGTGATCCACACACTTTGGCCTCCCAAAGTCCTGGGATTACAGGCATGAGTCACGTGCCGGCCCTGACATCTTAACAATATTAAATCACCTGACACTTGAGCAAGACTATATGTAAGATCTTGCTTAATTTCCTCTTATTTACGTATCTGAAACATTTTCTTGCTTTTGATTTCTAGTTTCATTTACATTGCATGACTTCAGTTTTCTTAAATTTAATAAGACATGTATCCTAACAGAATGTGCCATGTGTGATTGAGAATATTGCATATTTTGCTGCTTTCGATCGCAGAGTTCTGTAAATGCTTGTTAGGTCTATAATGTTCAGGTTTGGCTTTCTTACTGATATTACATCTGACTATTCTAGTCATTATTGAAAGTGGAGTCTTGGAGTCCGCAATTGTTGTGTTGCTATATATTTCTTGCTTGACTTCTGTCAATATTGGTTTTACATATTTGAAAGACGAGAATCAGTTGAACCTGGGAGGTGGAGGTTGAAGTGAGCCAATCGCGAGATCGTGCCATTGTCCTCCAGCCTGGGAGACAGAAACTCTATCTCCAAAAAAAAAAATAAGAAAGATATCAGTGTTATTTATAGTAATATAAAAATTTAATGTAATTTTTATCAAAATCCCAATGGTATATTTTTGCAGATTTTTCAAATTATATATATGATTTCTAAATTATTGTTATGGATTTCTTGCAAGTTAATCCATGTCACCGTTACTTAATAACAATCTGTCTCTTTTTAAAATTTTTAACTTAAAATATATTTTGTTTAATATAATTATGACCATGCCCCTCCAATTGTAGCTACTCTTTGCATAAAATATATTTTCTTTATACTGCTACTTTCAACTTATTTGGGTCCTTAGAGCTAAAATGACTCTTGTAGAGAGTACATTGCTGGATCTTCTTTGTTCTTAATCCATTAAATCATTTTCTGCATTTTGTTTAAGGTATTTAACTTTTTGTATTTGAAGTAATTACTGTAGTTAATGAAGTTACTATTATTATTTGGAATTGTCTTCTGTGTTTCTTGTAGATGTGTTATTTATCATTTTTTTCTCTTACTGCTTTATTTTTCTTCATTGATTTTGTAGTGACATGATTCAATTTCTTTCTCATTTGCTTCTGCATACCATCTACAGGTTTTTTTGTAATCATCTTGAGAAATAAAGACTTCATAAAACATCTTAAAGTTATGACAATATATAATGACTATATTTCAATGGAATGCAAAGCTTTACCTCTTTATACCCCCACTTTGTTATTAATATCACTTGTTATCTTTTCTTATTGAGTATCTATGAACCCATATTTATGCAGCTTTCTGCTTCATTTTTTAAATTCCATAGCAATAACGTGAAAGTTTTGTGCACCATCATTATGACAGTAGAGGTTTCTATAGCTGTTTATGTATTTACATTTAATAGAGAGCTTTCTATTTTCATATGCTTTTATGACGCTGTGCAGCATATATTGTCATTTTTGGACGTGATAGACTTTCTTTTACATTTCCTTTAGCAGTGTTCCAGTGGTCAGTAACACACTCAACTTTTATTTGTTTTGGAAATGCTTAACTTTTTTTTCTGAAGTGAAATTATTCCAGTTGAAGGTTTTTGTTTAGCATGATTTCTTCTTGTTTAATTACCTTGTCATCTAGGGAGTTCTCAGCTACTTTTTAAAAATATCCTCTTTATTATTTTTCTCCTATACTGTTTTTCTAAGACTCCTTTTATAAATACAGTGGTCCACTTGGTGGTGTGCTGTAAGTAAGTCCCAATTTTCATTTTTTCTCTATTCTGTTTAAAAAATTTGTTTTCATGAATCAGTATTTATAAGTGCAATGTTATCAACTGTCTAATTTTTTCTGCTTTATTAAATCCACTTTTGTGACTGCTGATTAAATTTTTAATATAGTTACTGTGTTCTTCAGAGTCACAATTTTTCTTGGTTTTTAAAAATCTTTTTATTGATATCTCGTTTTCTTCATGCATCACTTCTAATATTCTTTTGTTGTCTATGTTCTGTTTTTGTTCATTAAGCACTTTTTTCTAATTACATTTTAATGTAATTAGAATGTCCACCTTTACAATACACAAATACAGTAACGGTAACTCGCACTAAAACAAAGCATACTTCTGATAGCCATTATTTTTCTCTTTGGGACAAATTTAAAGTTTTTCTTTTGTCACAAAAACAGGAATGTACTTATACAAAGGCTCAAAATAGGCCATCTTTTTAAACAAAAAGGCAATGATTCACAAAAGACTATGAATAGAACATGTAACTAATTGATACAAATCTAATAGGATTTGTTAAAATCAGCCACATCCAATACATCTGAAGTGTACTTGTATAAAATATCACGTGAAGAAAAGAAGACTTTATCAATATCTTAAAAAGTGGGTTTGTTCATAGTCTGACAAGTTACCATTAAAAGTGTTTCCTGTGACATAAGGAAATGCAATATTATTTTTCTTGAACCCTTTCAGCGCAAGACTTTCCACTCAATAAAATCGCAGAGGATCTGAAACTGAGAAAATATACTTGATTACTAACAACTTGTGAAACTTAATACTTTTTTTTTTTTTGCATCATCAGCGGCTTTTACTGAACTTACAACCAACTTGCCGCTCAATATGCAGCTCAGATGTGAGAGACGCGTCTCTGTACAGGAGCCGGTACTGTCTTCAATCCTTTGCATGCAGGTGTTTACCACAGGCAAACAGTTTACTCCACATTTTCTAGTAATGTAATCTTCCTATTAGCAAAAAGCGGTAACCAGTCCCTGTAGACTGAAGGGACTCCAGTCACAGGATGCGGATTTCCTCTTCATGGTTTTTATTTTCATATTTGAACTGCTGATGCAACATATAAGCAGGGTGTTCAGGACCTGCTGTGCCTAAGGGACTGATAAAGGGAAAAGTTCTATTTATTCTTTGTGATTTGATGCACAGATGAAAAACTTAACACACAATAATAGAAGTTGGGCGTTAATAAATCACACCCTAGTCTTTCAGAGCTTCCGTAAGCAGACGACATTGTCAGTTTTCTAGCTCTTGTTTTAACACTGCAACAACAATGATGCATATGTCCGGAATCAGCTAAAAAGGCCGTCAGATTCTTTTTCTCTTAGATTATCTATTTTTCACTGTTCCCAAGTATATCTGAATAATTACCTTCCGGCATTCTCTGCTATTGCTCGTTGGGATGCTCTCGACTGTCCCCGTGTTTTGTGGGCTGTTGGGAGAGGGCCCTTGGGAAGGATGTACCACTGTTGGGAGGTTGTCAGTCACTGGGATGTCTCCAGGGATGATGTCTTCCCTGGCTGCAGAAGTCCTCCTGGAGCCACGCCCACCATGCCTGGCAGATATCTGTAGGTAGCACCACTGAGCTCAGGATGAATTTCTTGCTGGTTTATTACGGACCAAAGCGCTGATGTGACAAAGAATTCCTTGTTCACACAGTTTCTTAAGCTTCCCGGGATGCGACTTATGATGGCTTGGCGGATCTCAGTGGCAACTGCCTCGCTCATCTCCAGTGACACCTGCTGGCTGTAGCAGGCAGTGAGAGGAGTGCAGATGAGATTCCAGGCATCTTTCAACAGACCCCGAGCAAAACTAAAGGGCTCCGACTCATTCACGTCGAGGGCTGCCCCTCGTATTCTGCCCTCCTTGAGGATGTGTGCTCAGGCTTTCTCGTCCACCAGGCCACCACGGGCTGCGTTCACAAGGAATGCTCCCTGCCTCATCTGCTTTATAGTAAAGTCATGGATAAGGTGGTAGTTTTGTTCGTTGAGATTGCAATGCAAGAAGACGCAGTCGTTCTGATACAGCAAATCCTGCTGGGTGTAGACCCTATGCACACCCAGGGACCGCTCGATCCCATCCTGCAAAGGCCTTGGCTCGAACTGCAACCTCCTGCTGCGTGCGACCGAAGCCGATGAGGCCCAATATCTCCCCACGAATGCGAGCCTTTACTGAGGCCACCTCGCCAATCTGCTCCACGCTCTGAACTCGCGTGCCTTCCCTCAGTGCCTGGTACAGCGACCTGTTCCCCCAGTACAGATTGAGGATGTGGCCGGTGGTGGAGTCGGCTGTCTCTTCCACGGCTGCGGACGGGATGCTGCACACAGCAATTTCGAGCTCGCCAGCAGCCTTGATGGCCACGTTGTCGTAGCCACTGCCCACCTGCACGATCACTCTCAGGGCCTTGAAATTTTCCAGGTCTTCCCTGGTGAGGGAGAAGGTGTGGTACATCATGGCGCCCACGACTTCGTTTAGAACTTTCTCGTGGATCTCCTGCATGGACTGAGCCTCACAGAAGGCCAGGTGGCCAGGTCCTTCAGGATGGGCATGTCCACAGTGCAGTCCCGTCCATCCAGCAGAGCCACCACGAGGCGGGGTTCAGGGTGACTTTCATGATCTGGGGGCGAATTCCTCACAAATTCTGTCCAATCACTGTCTCTTGACTTAGCGCTTATCCACAAGGGCCATTCTTTAGGGAAATTTGCAACTCTCAGATCAAAAGGCAAAGCAGTCCTCTAAGAACTTAGGGGAACTCGCAGGAGTCTGCGTGCATGACGCCACTATGAACCCAATATAAATTTGTTCACAAACTCTATAGTTCACACGATGGGTTGTCCGTCTTTTTAAGGGAATACAGCTTCTTTGGTTCAAAACCATTTAAGGTGATGAAACCCGTTTGCTTGCAACTCCGCCACAATCGCGCAGCCACCAACGAATCTCACCACGACCCCAGGCCGAAGCCGCCTCCATTCCCAGGGATGGCGGACTCCGGGCGCTCTAGACCTGGGGTCGTGGTGAGATTCTCCCTTGGATGCCCCTGTTCTACAGTAAAGGAAATATCTTTGGAATGTAAAAAGAGAGAAAATAATAGGCATCACCCCAATAGGCAATAATGAACAAATAACAAAGATGAGAGGTGCAAAGGCCAAGGAGGAAACTTTAAAAATGTGATGTGGGAAGTTCGCTTCAATGAAATTGGTTCTGGAAGATCCTAGATTTACTTCTTTTGCTGCCACAGATGGACATTTCCTACCCTATGCTTATTATGCTCCTAAATCTTCTAAGGCTCCTCCTGTCCCTCCACTAACATTCCAGGGCATTCACAGTGACAGCCGAAGTTCTCCTCTTCTTTCTGTTATTCCCTTGAAGGCCTTGTGGTCTGAGTGCTTTTCCATTGTTTTGGGGGATCTGGGGAAATCTGCACATTTTGCGAGACTTCTATATTAAGCTATTTTGTAAAAATCTGTTCCTCATGTCAGAAGTTTGTGAGAGTAAAAGTGCAGGCATTGGGGTTTGGTTCACATATTTCAGAAACACCAAGGACAAATGTTTCTGCTTCATAATTTTCAGTCCTATGATTTCAAATGTGATCCTGCAAAAAAATCGGAAAAACTTTTATCAGAGCCCAAAACACCTCAGCACATATGATATAGTGAAGCTTCTATTTCACTTTATTCTTTTTTTCATCTCTGGTAATGTAGGTCAAAAAGTTTTCTTTTCCTTGGTAGAAATTAACTTAAAAACGTGAACTCTCTATGCCAAGCACCTCACCTGTGGAATAGTTTATTGTATCTACTCACCTCAAAGAATTTTTAAAGACCTTAATGCCATAGAAAAACTTAGAAACCTGCCAAGAATAGAATAAATTCTTAATTGTTACATGATTTCTTATTGAGTTATTTTATTATTTAATCTTATATAAAGCTTAGTGGGACTGTGATCTGCACGTTTTCACTTTTTGATTTTTATGTATCCCAAATTAGCCTATAATTTTAGCTTCAGGGATTTCAGAATAGCATACTTGAATTTATGTGTTATATAAAAAGTGAATTACTTAGTATGCACCTCACATTAATAAAATTTCAGTTTGTGTGTCTAAGTTTACTGCATAGAAAAACTTATCATTAGTGTTTCTATTAACTTTCCTCAACATTATCTGAATGATAGTATAATTTATTTCTCATTGCTTATTATGTAGTAGTGTTTCATTGCATATTTTTCAGTATTCATGTTGTTCCCATATTTAAAAATGTAAAGCTTTTCTTTACTTAAAAAAAAAAACAAATTATAGGCCAGTGCGGTGGCTCACGCTTGTAATCCCAGTACTTTAAGAGGCTGAGGTGGGTGGATCACAATGTCAGGGGTTCAAGACCAGCCTGGCCAACATGGTGAAACCCCGTCTCCACAAAAACCACAGAAAGAATGAGCAGGGCATGGGGGCGGGTGCCTATAATCCCAGCTACTCGGGAGGCTGGGGCAGAGAATTGCTTCAGCCTGGTAGGTGGAGGATGCAGTGAGCCGAGGTCTCGCCACTACACTCCAGCCTGGGTAACAGAGCGAGACTCTGTTCTCTAATATCATTGAAATCTTCATTAAAATTTTCTTCTAAATGTTCTTTATAGAAGATTATAATGCATTTGTTGTGAAATTTTGTTACTCTAACCATATGCTAATAATTCAAAATCTGTTCTTTATGGGTGTCCAGTTATGGTTGAATATTTCAGTTATCTAGAAAGAGTCTTCTTCAGTTGCATGATTTGTTTATTCAGTATTTCACAGGTTAATGTTTATCCAATTTTGTTTTGTAATATTTTATATTCCTGTATTTTCCTGTTAGGATAGGCTGTCTTACATCATTTAATTGTGTTTTTAGTTTCTGCTTATATGTTATAATTTTTTATGACTATATTTAACTGTGTACACTTTAAAAGAGTGTAGAAAAAAAGTCAAATATGAATCAACCATATGTGTATTGCAAACATAATTCTCTGTTCGTTTGACTGTATAAACATTACTCATGCTTTATTTATGACTTCTGTATTTATTTAATTAGTTGGTGGTCAATTATTTTTTTAATCCTCTCTGGGTGAGTAGTTGTGGAAATTGCCCTAATTTCCACATCTATGTATTAATGAATCTATATTACGTTTGCGTGAGGAAAACACCTCTGTGATGCGAGGGTAATTTTTTTTTTTTTTTTTTTTGACCACAGAAGTTTTTATTGCCCTCCTGCTCCGCAAAGGGACCTTGCTTCTGCTGGTTTAGCACCTCAAGACGTCTGTGATGTTGGTCTCAGACACCACTTTGCCGTCCACTATCCTGTGGGTGTTGGTCTTTTGGATGCTTTACAGGTATTTGCTGCTGTCCAGAATACCACCAAGATTGAAGTCCTCCCCATCTTCTAGCAGGCGGCAGTAGGTGGCAATCTCTGTGAAATGGGACACAGAGATCCAGGAGCCCCAGACCCCACGCCTCATAGAAGCTCGCCGCGCTGCTGACCTGCTGAGCACTTTAGCTGGGCGACTGGACAGATCCCAGGGACAGGTAGTAGTTGATGGAGAAGGTGCGGAGCAAGTGGTGAAGCTCGCTGTGTACGGGGAGGAAAGCGAGAGGACAGGACTCAGGTTTTGCCGAGGTCCTGAAGATAATTATTGAAATGCATTAAAACGGTATCTCACTTAGATATTATTATTGTTTACATTGTTATAAGAAACATATAAAATTGACAATTATTTACAATTTTACAATAATTTACAATGACAATAATTATATAGTTTAGACTTTTCAGCACATTGACATTATTCGACGTATCTCTAGAACATTTTTATCTTACAAAACTAAAACTCAATACACCTGAAACAACTGCCTGTCTTCTCCTTTGTTCAGCCCTTTACAAATGCTATCTTATTCTCTGTTTCTAAGGATGTTACTACTTTAGATATTTTATACATGTGGATACACTCAGTATCTGTCTTGTAGCTGGCTTATTTTATTTAGCATAATGTCATCAAGATTTTATTTTTATTATAGATAAAAGGTTTTCTGCTTTTCAAAAGCTGGGTAATATTCTATTGTTTTTATATTCCAAATTGTACCCATTCATTTGTTTGTTGAGGGAAGTATGGATTGCTTTAACCTATTGATTTTTGTAAGTAAAGCTACAATAAATACGTGAGCGTTTACATCTTTTTTGCACTCGGTTTTATTAGTCTATTTGTCTGTCTTTATGCCAGTAACAAACTACTTAGATTACTGTAGATTTGTAACAGGTTTTGAAAACAGGAACTGTAATGTTTCCAAAATTTTTCTCTTTTTGAAAACTGTAGAGTTCTTTGTGGTCTCCTGAAATTCCATATACTTTTGGGAGTCACATTTTCTGTATCTGTCAAAAATAAAATTAAGAATTTTATAGGGATTGTATTAAATCTGTAGGTCACTTTTGGCATTATAGACATGTTCAAAATAGTAAGTTTTCTAACTCTTGAACAAAAGCATGTTCAAGAGTAAATTGCTTAATTTTTACATATTTGTGAATTGTATGAATTTTCTTCTGTTATCGATTGCTAGTTTTAATCCTTTTTGGTCAGAAATTATAGTATGTAACATTCAATTTTTTTATTATACTTTAAGTTCTAGGGTACATGTGCAGAACGTGCAGGTTTGTTACACAGGTATACATGTGCCATGTTGGTTTGCTGCTCCCATCAACTCATCATTTACATTAGGTATTTCTCCTAACGCTATTCCTTTCATAGTCCGTCACCCCCAAACAGGCCCCAATGTGAGATGTTCCCCGCCCTGTGTCCATGTGTTCTCATTGTTCAACTCCAACCTATAAGTGAGAACATGCGGTGTTTGGTTTGAAGTCCTTGTGATAGTTTGCTGAGAATGATGGTTTCCATCTTCATCCATGTCCCTGTAAAGGACATGAACCCATCCTTTTTATGGCTGCATAGTATTCCATGCTGTATATGCTCCACAATTTCTTAATCCAATCTATCATTGATGGACATTTGCGTTGGTTCCAAGACTTTGTTATTGTGAATAATGCCGCAATAAACATATGTGTGTGTGTGTCTTTATAGTAGCATGATTTATAACTCTTTGGGTATATACCCAGTAATGGGATTGATGAGTCAAAAGGTATTTCTGGTTCTAGATCCCTGAGGAATCACCACACTGTCTTCCACAATGGTTGAACTAATTTACACTCCTACCCACAGTGTAAAAGTGTTTCTATTTTTCCACATCCTCTCCAGCATCTGTTGTTTCCTGAAATTTTAAAGATCGCCATTCTAACTGGCGTGAGATGATATCTCATTGTGGATTTGATTCGCATTTCTCTGATGACCAATGATGAGCAATTTTTCATATGTCTGTTGGCTGCATAAATGTCTTCCTTTGAAAAGTGTCTGTTATATCCTTTCCCCACTTTTTGATAGGGTTGTTTTTTTTTCTTGTAAATTTGTTTTAGCTATTTGTAGATTCCTGATATTAGCCCTTTGTCAGATGGGTAGATTGCAAAAATTCTCTCCCATTCTGTAGGTTGCCTGTTCAATCTGATAATAGTTTTGTTTGCACCCTGGTTTCGAACCAGGTACGCTACGGTCCCGGGGCTGTGAGCGAGGGCTGATGGGAAGGCACTTTCGTGCATGGGGGACACAGGCCCCGCTTCTCGGCTGTGAGGTTTTTTTTTCTTTTTTTTTCTTTTTTTTCCCTGCCACATGTGACTCACCTCCCCTCCCTCAAACCTAACCTTCCCCTCAGGGGCCTTCTGCCCGCTTTGGGGTACACATAGCGGGACCGAGACGCTCCCTGGGTTCGAACCAGGGTCCGGGGCCATGTGCAGGGGCTGATGGGAAGGCACTTTCGTCCGTGGAAGACCTAGGA
Source organism: Homo sapiens (assembly GCF_000001405.40). Lineage (NCBI taxonomy): Eukaryota > Metazoa > Chordata > Mammalia > Primates > Hominidae > Homo > Homo sapiens. The sequence goes on from NW_021160023.1 coordinate 111,243, forward strand.
ACGCTTCTCGGCAGCGCGGTTGATTTTTTTTTTTTTTTTTCCTGACACAGGTGCTTCACCTCCCCTCCCTCAAATCTTACCTTCACCTCAGGGGCCTTCTGCCCGCTTTGGGGTACCCCTAGCGGGCCCGAGAAGCTCCATGGGTTCGAATCAGGGGCGCCAGGTTCCCTGGGACCCAGAGCAGGGGTTGAAGGGAAGGCAGTTTCGTGCATGGGGGACCCAGGCCCCGCTTCTCGGCGGCGCGATTTTTTTTTTTCCTGCCACAGGTGCCTCACATCCCCTCCCTCAAACCTAACCTTCCCCTCAGGGGCCTTCTGCCCACTTTGCGATACCCCTAGCTGGCCCGAGGCCCTCCCTGGGTTGGAATCAGGAACGCCAGGGTCCCCGGGTCCCAGCGCAGGGATTGAAGGGAAGGAACTTTCGTGCGTGCAGGACCCAGGAACGCTTCCTGGTGGCGAGTTCTGTTTTGTTTTTTTTCCTGCCACAGGTGCTGCACTTTCCCTCCCTCAAACCCCACCTTCCCCTCAGGGGCCTTCTGCCCGCACTGGGGAAACCCTAGCGGGCCGAGATTCTCCCTGGGTTCGAAGGGACACCAGGGTCCCGGGGCCATGCGCAGGGGCTGATGGGAAGGCACTTTCTTCCGAGAAGGACCCAGGAACGCTACTCGGAGGCGCGCTGTTTTTTCCTTTTTTTTTCTGCTACAGCTGCCTCACCACCCCTCCCTCACACCTTAACTTCCCCTCAGGGGCCTTCTGCCCGCTTTGTGGTACCCCTAGCGGGCCCGAGAGGGCCCTGAGTTGGAACCGGCGATCCATGGTAACCGGAGCCCAACCCAGGGACTGATGGGAAGGCACTTTTGTCCGTGGGGGACCCAGGCCCCGGTTCTCCGGGGCGCTTTTTTTTTTTATTTCCTGCCACGGGTGCCTCACCTCCCTTCCCTCAAAGCTTACCTTCCCCTCAGTGGCTTTTGTCCGCTTTGGTGTACCCCTAGCCGGCCCGAGACGCTGCGTGGGTTCTAAGCAGGGACGCCAGGGTCCCCGCGGTCCAGCACAGGGGCTGATGGGAAGGAACTTTCGTCCGTGGGGGACCCAGGAACGCTTCTCGGTGGCGCGTTTTTTTTTTTTTTTTGTGCCACAGGTGACTCACCTCCTCTCCCTCACACCTTACCTTCCCCGCAGGGGCTTTCTGCCCACTTTGAGGTATCCCTAGTGGGCCCGAGACGCTCCTTGTGTTCAACCAGTGACGCCAGGGTCCCCAGGCCCAGAGCAGAGGCTGATGGGAAGGCACATTCGTCCCTGGGGGACCCAGTCTCGGCTTCTCGACGGCTCGGTTTGTTTTTTTTTTCCTGCCACAGGTGCCTCCCCTCCCTCAAACCTAACCTTCCCCTCAAGGGCCTTCTGCTAGCTTTGGAGTACCCCTAGCGGGCCCGAGACGCACCCTGGGTTCGAACCAGGGACGCCAGGTTCACGGGGCCATGCGCGGGGGCTGATGGGAAGGCACTTTCGTCCTTGGGGGACCCAGTCTCCGCTTCTTGGCGGCGCGGTTTTTTTTTTTCCTGCCACAGGTGCCTCATCTCCCCTCCCTCAAACCTTAACTTCCCCTCAAGGACCTTCTTCCCGCTTTGGGGTACCCCTAGCGGGCCCGAGACGCACCCTTGGTTCGAACCGGGGACGCCAGGGTCACCGGGGCCCAGCGCAGGGACTGATGGGAAGGCACTTTCTTCCGTGGGGGACCCAGGAATGCGTCTCGACGCTGAGTTTTTTTCTTTTTTTTTTTTTCATCCACAGGTGCCTCACCTCCCTTTCCTCAAACCTAACCTTCCCCTCAGGGGCCTTCTGCCCGCTTTGGGGTACCCCTAGCGGGCCTGAGTCGCTCCCTGGGTTCGAACCAGGGACGCCAGAGTATCCAAGGCCCAGTGCAGGGACTGATGGGAAGGCACTTTCGTCCGTGGGGGAACCAGGAACGCTTCTTGGCGGCGAATTTTTTTTTTTTGTTTTGCGTTTTTTTTTTTCTGCCACAGGTGCCTCACCTGCACTCCCTCAAACCTTACCTTCCCCTGAGGAGCCTTCTGCCCGCTTTGGGTATGCCTAGCGGGCCCTTTACAAGAAGCTCTTTAGTTTAAGTAGGTCCCGTTTGTCAATTTTGGCTTTGTTGCCATTGCTTTTGGTGTTTTAGTCATGAAGTCTTTGTCCATGCCTATGGTATTGCCTAGGTTTTCTTGTAAGTTTTTATGGTTTTAGGTCTTACATTTAAGTCTTTAATCCATTTTCACTTAATTTTTGTATACAGTGTAAGGAAGGGATCCAGTTTCAGTTTTCTGCATATGGCCAGCCAGTTTTCCCAGCACCATTTATTAAATAAGGAATCCTTTCCCCATTGCTTGTTTTTGTCAGTTTTTTTCAAAGATCGGATGGTTGTAGATGTTTGGTGTTATTTCTGAGGCCTCTGTTCTGTTCCATTGGTCTATGTATCTGTTTTGGTACCAGTACCATGCTGCTTTCCTTGCTGTAGCCTTGTATTATAGATTGAAGTCAGGTAGCGCGATTCCTCCAACTTTGTTCTTTTTGCTTAGGATTGTCTTGACTATGCGGGCTCTTTTTTGGTTCCATATGAACTTCAAGGTAGTTTTTTCCAATTCTGTGAAGAAAGTCAATGGTAGCTTGGTGGGGATGACATTGAATCCATAAATTACCTTGGGCAGCATGGCCATTTTCACAATATTGATTCTTCCTTTCCATGAGCACGGAATGTTCTTCCATTTGTTTGTGTCCTCTTTTATTTCGTTGAGCAGTGGTTTGTAGTTCTCCTTAAAGAGGTCCTTCACATCCCTTGTAAGTTGGATTCCTAGGTATTTTATTCTCTTTGAAGCAATTGTGAATGGGAGTTCACTCAGGATTTGACTCTCTGTATGGTATTGTAGGAATGTTTGTGATTTTTGCACATTGATTTTGTATCCTGAGACTTTGCTGAAGTTGCTTATCAGCTTAGGAGATTTTTGGCTGAGACGACGGAGTTTTCTAAATATACAATCATGTCATCTGCAAACAGGGACAATTTGACTTCCTCTTTTCCTAGTTGAATATGCTTTATTTCTTTCTCTTGCCTGATTGCCCTGGCCATAACTTCCAACACTATGTGGAATAGGAGTGATGAGAGAGGACATTCTTGTCTTGTGCCGGTTTTCAAAGGGAGTGCTTCCAGTTTTTGCCCATTCTGCATGATATTGGTTGTGAGTTTGTCATAAATAGTTCCTATTATTTTGAGGTACATTCTGTCAATATCTAGTTTATTGAGCATTTTTTAGCATGAAAGGCTGTTGAATTTTTTCGAAGGCCTTTTCTGCATCTATTGAGATAATCATGTGGTTTTCGTCATTTGTTCTGTTTATGTGATGGATTATGTTTACTGATATGCATATGTTGAACCTGCATCCCAGGGATTAAGCACACTTGATCTTGGTGGTTAAGCTTTTTGAAGTGCTGCCTGATTCGGTTTGCCAGTATTTTATTGAGAATGTTTGCATCGATGTTCATGAGGAATATTGGCTTAAAATTTTCTCTTTTTGTTGTGTCTTTGCCAGACTTTGGTATCAGGATGATGCTGGTCTCATAAAATGAGTTAGAGAGGATTCCCTCTTTTTCCATTGATTGGAATAGTTTCAGAAGGGTTGGTACCAGCTCCCCTTTGTACCTCTGGTAGAATGTAGCTGTGAATCCGTCTGGTCCTCGACTTGTTTTGGTTGGTAGGCTATTAATTATTGCCTCAATTTCAGAACCTGTTATTGGTCTATTCAGAGATTCAACTTCTTCCTTGTTTAGTCTTGTGGGGGATGTATATGTCCAGGAATTTACCCATTTCTCCTAGATTTTCTAGTTTATTTGCGTAGAGGTGTTTATAACATTCTCTGATGGTAGTTTGTATTTCTATGGGATCAGGGGTGATAGCCCCTTTATCATTTTTTATTGCTTCTCTTTGATTCTTCTCTCTTTTCTTTATTAGTCTTGCTAGCAGTCTATTTTGTTGATCTTTTCAAAAAAATAACTCCTATATTCATTGATTTTTTGAATTTTTTGTAACATTCAATTTTTCAAAAATTCTGTTCAGAATTGTTTTTTGGCTTCATAGTTATTTTTAGGAGAATGTTTCATGAGCTTTTGAGAAGATTGTGAGTTTTGTTTTTGTGTAGAGTGTTCTGTATGCATCTGTTATATCTAATTGCTTTACAGTATTTTCATGTCGTCTGTTTACTTTTTAATATTCTATCTGGCTTTTTTATTAATTACAGAACTGGTGTATTAAAATATTATACTTTTAATATATTGCCGTTTTTGCTTATGTTCTGTCAAGATATTATTGAGATATTTAAAAATACTCATGTAAGGTGCATACATATTGGTGTGAATACATAATTAGATATATACACACAATTATGTAAATGTGTATAATTGTCATAGGTTTCCAGTGAATAAACCCTTTTATTATTTTGTCCTTTGTTTTTCTGACAATTTGATTTCATAATATATTTTATAAACTAAGACAGTTATTTAAAAAGCATTTTGCATACTATAATTGTGACATAGTCTGTCCTCATTTGGTTATGATTTGCATAATTTTTTGGATGCATCTTGCCACATTTAGTCTGTTTTTGTTACTATAGAGTAAGATGGCTCATATCTGTCATCCTAGCATTTTAGGAGATTGAGGTGGGAGGATCACGTGAAACCAGGAGTTTGAGACCAGCCTGGGAAACAAAGCAATACCAAGTCTCTAAAATAAATAAATAAATAAATTGAGTCCCTTTAGACAGATGTAGTTAGATTTTCTTTCTTTTTTTTTTAATTCCTATACTCAATTTATGACTTTTGGTTGAGAAGTTTAGTTTGTGAGTAGTTACATAATTTCCTGCATTTGAAGGAATTACTTTTGACACTTTGTGGAGTAAAATTTAAATATTAAATTTGAACTCAATTGAATCTGGACTCAAACAATGGTCACCAAGTCCTGGAACAGGTTGTGTGAGCCCCTTGAGGCTTTCATCCAGCGCTGTTTCGGATAAATCTCTATTTCAATTTATTCCTATATGTTAGTTACTGAAAAACAACAGACAATCAAAAAAACAAGTTGACCTTTTTCTTTTCCTTGAGCCCAGAAATGAAGGGCCCTCCTGACTGGACGTCATGCCAGATAACTCATTACAAAAAGAGCTAGAGTTCCAGACTGTGCCAAAACTTCATGAGATCTCTTCTCATCTGTTCACGGACAAGTGGCCAACTCTGGAGCCCAGTCTGTTGCTTCGCAGTCTGGTGGTGAATCCTCCATAGTCTGATGAGTGTAAATATATATATCTCTTTTCCCTTCTCTCCGTCCCATTGCAACTTGCTTATTATATCATTTGCTTATTATATCTGCATTGCCATTTACGTGGGATACAGTTTGTTTACCCTTAAAGGTATTGTGTGTGTGTGTGTGTGTGTGTGTGTGTGTGTGTGTGTGTTTCCTTCTCTCCTTGAGCATTTCCTGCGCAGAACATTTTTGGCTTCACGAACAGGATCCGAAAGCAAAAGCATGCCATTTTTTGGTGCAGGGACCAGACTGGGAGCTCGGGGACTTTCCATATCTTCAGATGGGAACTCCCTTAGTTCTTCCCCTTGGCCATTCAGTGGTCCAAGGGAGCTGACGTTTGTGAAAATAGGCAATCTAAGTTAGTGCATTTTGAATCATTGGCTGTGTGTGAGGAGGTGCAGGGAATCCCAGTTGGTAAATGGGATGCTGAGAGAATTTCCCGGCATGGATGGTGCTTGCTTACTGCTTATAAGTTAATGTGTCAAGATAGGAATCAGCTGCTACAACAGAAATGTAAGCCAGAAAAGAAAATGCTAATCTGACTTCCAGGCTGGCCCTGGCCCATGGCCAGGCCTATGTCTTGACTGATCAGCCTCAAAGTTATCAGCCTATTGCTGAAAAAAGCAGCTGCCTGAGTGGCCCAGTCAGGGTAAAACTGAAGAACTAGTCAGCTGGGGCTTGGATCCGGTAAAAACCCAAATCCTATCTCAAGGATGGGAAGTTAACCCTAGTAAAATTCAAGGACCTCCACAAACTGTAAAGTTCCTTGGCATCCTATGGAATGCAGGGAAACAGTCCATTTTACCAAAGGCTAAGGCTAAAATACTAGAATTTGCAGCCCTACCACTGAAAAGGAGGTCCAAAATTGTATTGGTTTGTTTGGATTCTGGAGACATCATATTCCCCATTTGGGTAACATTTTACAACCTCTGCATGCAGTCACTAGAAAACGCTATGACTTTCACTGAAGACAGAAAGTGAGCGTGGCTTTTCAACCAGCCAAACAAGCAGAGCAACAGTATGGCCCTTACAGGATGGGCCAGTAGAACTGCAAGTAACTGTCCTAGATCAACACGCTCATTGGAGCCTTAGGTAGAAACAAGATGGGAAGAGATACCTTTGGGGTTTTAGACCCAGAAGCTGTCAGAGGCTAGCAAAGCTTATACTCTTTGAGAAGCAGCTGTTGACCTGCTACTGGGCTTTACAGGAAACAGAACACCTTTGTCTTAATCATGATGTTTTTATGAGGCCCCAAATTCCTAATATGACTTGGGTCATGAACTCCCTCAAACCTCATTGGATAGGGTACACTCAAGAAAGTAAATGGAAATGGCACATACAAGACCAGGCTAAGCCGGAACCAAAACAGGTATCATTTTTAAATGAGGATGTGCAAAACTTGCCAGCTCAGCAAACCACTGAGCAAGTCCTGCAGATAAGGAAGGAAACCTCCCCTGCCCAATGGGGCAAATCCTTTAAAGAACCAAGCCCAGACGATCAGAGACATGCTTGGTTTGCTGATGATTCCACCAAATATATTGATGGGACCCGATGCTGGGAGGCCGTGGCTTATAATCCTGTTAAAAACATAAGCATTTCTGAGGAAGGGAGGGGTGTTAGCAGCCAGCTGGCTGAACTAGAATCTGTTCTCTGAACTATTCAGGAGGAGGCCAGAGGGATTTGTTACTTGTATACCTACTCTTGCTTAGCAGAAAATGGTCTTACTACCTAGTTGCCCGAATGGCAATGAAACAAATGGTGAATTACGAATAAAGAGGTTTGGAGAAAACAATACTAGGAAGATATCTGAATCCTGGTGCACACTACCATTATTGCTGTTTTCCAGATTGATGCTCGTGCATCTCTGCTTTCTCTTGACAGACTATTCCATCAGCAGGTAGATCAACAGGTGTGAGATTCGGAACCTTAACATTGGGCTGTGTTCATGTGAAAAGATGACAATTTTTGCTCTTCGCTCAGTGTACATATGAGTATCACAATCTCACCTTTGTTCTGGGCCCTAGCAGGACACTCTCTTCACCATATGAAGCCTTTATAGAGTATGCATGAGTGTAACAATTCTCTCTGAAACCTTAAGCAGGCACGGACCCCTCCTTGTACCTTTAGCTTTAAGCCCTGGTATGACAGTCAACATCTTTCTACTTGGATGGGTCCAAATAAGAGTTCTTAACTGCCTATGAGCTGCGTTTAAAAATGAGTCACCATCCCACCTGTGGCTGGATGTTCACATATGAAAGTCAGAATCCCAGTTGTGGACTATGTCTGCATGTGTAATTCAGGACCTCAAGAGTGGGCTCTCTCCACATGTGATAGAGACCATCCTGAATATTGGTGTGGTGTGAATCTGAGAAGTATAATCTCACCAGTGTGCTGAGCCCTTTGGTGACAATTTCTCTACCATAGTTTACACAATATGCAAGACAGTGGTACTCCTCCGTGTGACGTATCACTGGGTCTTGCACACAGGTAATGTGAGTCTCCTCTCCTGCCTTGGAATGCTCACAGGAGGCATTGGGACATACCACTGAACCTGATATTCAGGTTATGTGCCTGTCTTTCCTGTGCTCTGTCCATGGGCGTTTGTGACATATTTTTGGGTCCAAAACACAGGCAACATAGCTCTCCTGTCTGGATCCTGCCTAGAGAGGGCATGGTGGCGTATCCCTGCACCAGCCACCAGATGATGTAACTCTATCTTCTGTCTAGTCCCTGCTTACAGGGTGAATTTTGACTTATCGCTAGGCGCAGCATTTAGCTAATATGACTCTTCCCTTTTTTCAGGTTCTGCCCACGGGGAAGATTGTGACATATCGATGGGTAAAACACCAAAATGATTTTACTCTTTTGTCTTTGTTCTGTCCTTAGAAGGCATTGGGACATATTGCTGAACCAGCACCAAGGTAATGTAAGGGTCCTACCTGAACCCTGCCCACAGGGAGCATAGTGACATATCTCTGAGCCCATGAACTATTTGATGTGGCTCTATTCTCTTACCTGGACTTTGCCCATGAGAAAGACTGTGACGTATTTCTTGGTCCAGTGCTTAGGTAATGTGATTCTCCTCTCCAGCCTGAGACATGCCCACAGAAGTAAGAGTGACATCTCTGGGCCTAGCCCACAGGTGATGTGACTCTTATCCCTTCTTTCTGCCCAGGGGAGTCATTGTGATGTATATCTGAGACCATTATAAGAATGATGTGACTCTCCTGTTCTTACTGCGACCTGTCCACAGTGGGGATGATGATGTATCACTTAGGCCAGCACATATGTGGTGAGATTCTTCTCATGCCTGTGCCCTGCCCCCTGGGCTAATTGTGACATATAACTGGACCCCTCCCCTAGGTTATGCAACATATCCCTGTGGTAACACTCTTTGTACCATTTAAGGGCTTTATATAATATAAGAGAGAGTGGTATTCCTCTAAGACCCTCATACAAAGAGAAGATTTAGGACCTACTGATTTTCCAAAGCCTCACTAGGAAAAACAGCATTTCTCTTAGTGGCAGGTTTGAGGTATGAGAGTCATTATTACACCTGTGAGCTGGCCAAGATATATGTTTCAATCTCTCCTGTGGGTAGGGAGTGAGCAGGAGAGTCGCAGGGACCAGGTAGGAGAGTCACATACCTAAGGCTGGGCCAGGGATATGTAACAATCTTTTATGAGGTCGGAGGCTAGGAAGGGAGTCCCATCACTTGTGTGCTCACCTGGGATATGTTACAATCCCCTCCTGAAATCAGAGTACAAGCAGCAGAGTCAAATCACCTGAATATTGAGCTCAGTGATATGTCACCACACTCCCTGTGGGTAAAGCCATGGCAGGAGAGACACATCACCTGATTACTGATTACTAGGCCCAGTGATATGTCAGAATTTTTCCTGTGGGCAAGGTGCAGGCAGAAAGGAGAGTCACATCATCTGGTGATGGAGGCAGAAATATGCTACAAGGCAGAAATATGCTCTGCCTCCCTGTGGGCAGAGTTCAGGCAGGAGCCCCCAATCTCCTAGGTGTTAAGTTCAGTGATATGTTACAATGCTCCCTGTGGGCAGCACAAGTCGAGAGAATAGAGCCACATCACCTACGTTCTAGGTCCAATGATATGTCCCAATTTTATTTGTGAGCTGGGCTTAAACAGGAGAGTCTACTCACTCAGGTGCTGGACAAATGTGTATGTTTGTCACAATGACACCTGCAGGAAGTTCTAGACATGGGATGAATCCCGCACATATTCTGGTTTTACGCATGAGAGTGAACACCTTCTGTATGTTTGATCTAAGTACACAAGTCACTATCTCAATAGTGGACTAAATTTGTGCATGGCAGCCCCATTTTCTCTTGCAGACTTTCTCCCCTAATTGAAATCACGGCTTCACAGGTGTGCCGACTCATGATATGAGAGTCATCAACATATCTGTGACTCTCACATATGAGAGTCAGTTTTTCAACTTTTTTTATTGTACTTTAAGTTTTAGGGTACATGTGCATAACGTGCAGGTTTGTTACATATGTATACATGTGCCATGTTGCTGTGCTGCTCCTATTATCTCCTCATTTACATTAGGTATATCTCCTAATGTTATCCCTTCCCCCTCCCCCATCCCACAACAGGCCCCGGTGTGTGATGTTCTCCTTCCCGTGTCCAAGTGTTCTCATTGTTCAGTTCCCACCTAGGAGTGAGAACATGCCATGTTTGGTTTTTTGTTCTTGCGATAGTTTGCTGAGAATGATGATTTCCAGCTTCATCCATGTCCTTACAAAGGACATGAACTCATCATTTTTTATGGTTGCATAGTATTCCATGGTGTATATGTGCCACATTTTCTTAATCCAATCTATGATTATTGGACATTTGGGTTGGTTCCAAGTCTTTGCTATTGTGAATAATGCCACAATGAACACACGTGTGCATGTGTCTTTATAGCAGCACATCATGGTACTGGTACCAAATCAGAGTACGTGGTACTGGTACCAAATGGAGCAGAACAGAGCCCTCAGAAATAGTGCCACACATCTGCAACTATCTGATCTTTGACAAACCTGACTAAAACAAGAAATGGGGAAAGGATTCCCTATTTAATAAATGGTGCTGGGAAAACTGGCTAGCCATATGTAGAAAGCTGAAAATGGATCCCTTCCTTACACGTTACACAAAAATTAATTCAAGATGGATTAAAGACTTAAATGTTAGACCTAAAACCATAAAAACCCTAGAAGAAAACCTAGGCAATACCATTCAGAACATAGGCATGGGCAAGGACTTCATGTCTAAAACACCAAAAGCAATGGCGACAAAAGCCACAATTGACAAATGGTATCTAATTAAACTAAAGAGCTTCTGCACAGAAAAAGAAACTACCATCAGAGTGAACAGGCAACCTACAGAATGGTAGAAAATTTTTTCAATCTACTCATCTGACAAAGGGCTAATACCCAGAATCTACAAAGAACTCAAACAAGTTTATAAGAAAAAAGCAAACAAACCCATCAACAAGTGGGCGAGGATATGAACAGACAGTTCTCAAAAGAAGATATGTATACAGCCAAAAGACACATAAAAAAGGCTCAGTTTTTCAACTTTTGAAACTGCCTTTGGGTATGGGATTCAGAGCCTCAAAAGTGAACTATGATCATGTGAAAGAATGACAATCTTTAATGTTGGCTGGGTGTGCATCCCAATGTCATTATATTACTGTGTGCTGAGCCCTATTAGGAGTTTCTGTGTTGCACCTGAGGGCTTTATATGGTATGCATGACAGTCTCAATTCTTTCAGAGATTTTCATGCTGGTATGGACCCAGGATCAAACCTGTGGCCCTAAGCCTATATATGAGTCAACATCTTTACAATTGGCGGGGTCCAGATAAGAGAATCATCACCTTTCTATGCGGTGGGTTTATAACGAAGTTCCCATTCCAACTGTGGCCAGATCTTTACATATGAGATTCGCAATTCCAACTATAAACTGCATTCATGTGTGAAATTCAGGACCCCACAAGTGGGTTCTGTTTATATGTGAGGGTGAAAATCATAATGGCCAGGAGGGTGCAGGGTGCGCATAGGAGTAACAAATTTCACCTGTGTGCTGGGCCCTGTGATAAGACTCTCTACCACCCGAGGGCTTTCTGTAATATGTGAGAGAGTGGATGATCTTAACGAGGAGACCCAGGGATTTTTTTTTTTTCATTTCCCTAAGTGTCGGTAGGAGAAGCAGGATCTCTCCTATTGGCTGGTGTGACATATGAAAGTCATCATTGCACCTGTGTGTTGTGTTCCAAGATATAAGTCACAATTACACCTTCATATAGGAAGAGAGAAGGAGAGTAAAATCAGTTGGACGCTGGGCCAGGGATATGTCGCTTCCCTGAGAACAGGGACCAGAGAACAGAGACACATTACCTGAATGCTCAGGCATGGGTATGTAGCAATCCACTCCTTAAATTAGGAACCAGGCAGCAGAGTCACATCACCTGGGTGCTGGATCTAGCAATATGTTACAATCCTCTCTGTGGTCAGGATGCAGGTAGGAGAGTCACATCTCCTTGGTGATGAATGCAGAAAAACGTCACAAGTTTCTCTGTGCATAAGGTAGAGGAATAAGCCTTTTATCCCCTAAGTGTTGGGCCCGGGGATATGTCACAATACCCAAAATATGCAAACCCAGGCAAAAGAGAACAGTCACATCACCTTGGTGGTAGGGTCACTGATATGTCACAATCCCCTCTTTTGGAAGGGCCCAGATAAGAGTGGAGAGTCACATAGCCTAGGCAATGAATAGAAAGGTATGTCATAATACCCCTGTTGGCAAGACCTATGCAGAAGAGTCACATCACCTATGTGTTCAACCCAGATATATGTTACTGTACACCATGTATGCAGGGCCCAGGCAAGAGAAAAGGCCACATCACCTCGGTTCTGGGCCCAGCAATATATCACAATACCCCCTAAGAGGAGGTAACAGACAGGAGAGTCACATCACCTAGGTCTGAGGAGCAGAGCTATATGGTAATGCCCTGTGTGTGTGCACCCCAAAATAGAGGAGAGTTACATCACCTGAAGACTGTACCCAGCTATGTCACAATGACCCCTGTGGGCAGCACCCAGGCATGAGAAGAGAGCACCATCATGTAGGTGCTGTGCCAGGCTGTATTTCACAATCTCCACTATGGATAGGTTTCAGGGAGAAGAGGACCGTCACATCATCTAGTTGATGAGTCTGGAGATATGTCAAAATGAACCCTCTGAAGAGACCAGGATGCAGAATCACATGATCTGTGTGCTGGGTCTAGGAATAACCCATTCTCCCTTCTGTAAACATGGCCACGCAGAAGATGAGGGTCACATATTTAAGGTGATGAACGCGGAAATATTTCACAAGTCTCCCTGTAGGCAAGACCCAGACAGGAGATTCCCTTCCCTCAGTTGTTGGGACCAGAAATACATCACAATGTGGGGCTCAAGCAGAAAAACTAAAGAAACATCACCTATTTTCTGAGCTCAGAATTAGTCACAATCTCTCCTATAGGCAAAGCCTTTGTTAAAAAAGAAGAGTTTTATCAAATAGTTGATGGGCTCAGAGATATGTCCCAATGCCATATGTTACAAATTGCTGTAGGCAGGCTTCAGGCAGGAGATGGGCCTAATAATGTGTCACAGTGCTTTCTGCTTGCAGGGCAAAGTCAACAGAGTAATGTCACCTCGAAGTTGGACCCACCAATGTATCACAATCTCCTTCCAAACAAATCCTAAAAAACAAAAGAAGAGTAACATGAGGTAGGTGCTGGGCACAGTGATATGTCACAATCCTTTCTTTAAGCAGGGACTAGGCAGGAGAAGAAAATCACACCACATGGGTGATGGGCTCATAGATATTTCACAATGTCCCCTTAGGCAAAGCTCAGGAAGGAGAGGTAGATCATCTAGGTTTTGTATGCAACAGTATGTCACAATGGCCATTGTGGCCTGGGCACCGGCAGAAGAGTCACATAACATGGATGTGAGACCCAGCAATACATCACAACGCCCCGGTGAGTAGCACTAATGCAAGACAGAAAACTTACATTACCTAGGTGCAAGGCCAAGTGATATGTCCCAATGTCCCCTGTGGGCAGCACCAAGGCAGGAGGTAAGAGTCACATAACCTAGGTGCTGGCTTCAGTGATATATCAGAATCCCATCTGTGAGCTGGGCACAGGAAACAGAGCTAAAATACTCGGGAGCTGGGCAGAGATGTATGTCACAATCCCACCTGCAGAAAGCGACAGGGATGAGATGAACAACTCCACACATGTCCGGATTCCAGGTATGAGAATTTGCATGTTGGGCCTAAGTACACCAGTCTCAATCTCAACAGTGAACTGGATTCATAAATGTGTCTTCTCTGGCTGACCGTGTCCCCTTAGGAGAGTTACAGTCTCACAGATGTAATGAATTTTGGTTTGAGAGTCACCCACCTACCTGTGGACAAGATCCATATATGAGAGTCAATTTTCTTTTTTTTCTTTCTCTTTCTTTCTTTCTTTCTTTCTTTCCTTCTTTCTTTCTTTCTTTCTTTCTTTCTTTCTTTTCTTTTCTTTTCTTTCTCCCTTTCTTTTCCTTCCTTCTTTCTTTCTCTTTTTCTTTCTTTCTCTCTTTCTTTCTTTCTGTCTTTCTTTCTTTCTTTCTTTCTTCTTTGCTTTCTTTTTTTTTTTTTTCTCCCTTGAGATGGAGTCTCACTCTATTGCCAGGCTGGAGTGCAGTGGGACGATCTCGGTTCTCTGCAACCTCTGCCTCCTGGGTTCAAGCGACTCTCCTGCCTCAGCTTCCTGAGTAGCTGGGATTGCAGGTACATGCCACCATGCCCAGCTAATTTTTGTATTTTTAGTAGAGATGGGGTTGCCAGGCACAGTGTTCCATGCCCGTAATCCCAGAACTTTGAGAGGTCGAAGTGGGTGGATCACTTGAAGTCAGGAGTTTGACACCAGTCTAATCAATATGGTGAAACCCCGTCTCTACCAAAAATATAAAAATTAACTGGGCATGGTGACATGAGCCTGTAGTCCCAGCTACTCGGGAAGCTGAGACAAGAGAATTGTTTGAACCTGGGAGGCGGAGGTTACAGTAAGACTAGATGGTGCCACTGCACTCCAGTCTGGGTGACAGAGCAAGATTCTGTCTCAAAATAATAATAATAAATAAATAGTAGAGAGGCGGGGTTTCACCACGTTGGCCAGGATGGTCTTGATCTCCTGACCTCGTGATCCACCCGCCTCGGCCTCCCAAAGTGCTGCGATTACAGGCCTGATCCACCGCACCCGGCCGGTTGTGCTCATTTTTGAGGATAACTTTTATTGTCACCAGAGTGTGCATGAGTGTTAGAATCTCACCTGTTTGCTGGGCCCTGTTAGGACACTATGTACCTCCTATGGGCTTTGTAGAGTATGCATTAAACATAATCCACTCTGAGGTCTTCATGCTGATATGAACCTATGATCATACCTGTGGCCATAAGCCCAGGTATGAGAGTCAACATCTCTCCAGCTGGCTGGATTCAGATAAGAGGATCTTTACTTGGCTGTAAACTGGGTTCAGAAATAAGTCACTATCCCAACTGTGACTGGATGTTCACATGTGGTAGTTACAATTCCAGCTGTGGACGGCACTCAGGTATGAGATTTAGACCTCCCTAATCACCTCTGTTCCTGTGTAGGAATGACAATTCTGATGATTGGTGGGTGTGCACACAGAGAACACAATCTCACCTGTGTTCTGGGCCCTGTGATGACACTGTACCATCTGAGTGCTTTACAGGATATGCAAGAGTGCTTATTTTCTCTGACCTTCATAGTAAGAGAAGACCCATAATTTTGCACATTTTGTAAAGCCTGGATATGAGACAAAGTATCTCTCCTATTGGTTGGTTTAAGGTATGAATGTCATCATCACACCTACATGTTAGGCCAAAATATATGTGACAATCTCACATTTGAGTAGTCAGCAAGCAGGAGGGTCTCATCACCTGGGTCATTGTCAGGGATACGTCACATTCTCCCCTGAGGACAGGGACAAGGCAAGAAAGTCACATCCCTAGGTATTCTGCCAGGGATATGTTCTTGTTCCCTCCTGAAAGCATGACACATGCAGCAGAGTCACCTCACCTGGGTTCTGGGTCCAGCGATATGTCACAATTTTCCCTGTGAGCAAGGCACAGGCAGGAGAAACACATCACCTGTTTGCTGGGCCCAGAAATATGCTACAGTTTTTCTTGTGAGCAGGGCTCAGGCAGAAATGGGGAATCACATTTTCTAGGTGATAAATGCAGAGCTATGTCACAAGGTCCCCAGTAGTCAGGGCCTTGGCAGAAGATTCCTATTGTCTAGGCGATTGGCCCAGTGATACAACACAATAGCTAAATTATGCAGGGCCCAAGGCAAAGAGGAGAGTTGCATCACCTAAGTGATGAACAAAAAGATATGTCATAATACCCAGGTGGAAATGGGCCATGCAGGTAAGTCACATTACCTAGGTGTTGGACCCAGTGATATGTCACAATACACAATATATGCAGGGCCCAGCCAAGAGGGGAGAGTCAAATCACCCAGGTGCTGGGCCCGATGATACATTGTAATCTGTCTTTGGTCAGAGCCCTAGCAGTAGAAGAAACTCACATCACCTCCATGCTGAGGTCAGCCATATGTCACAATAACCCTGAGAAATGAGCCCAGGAAAAGAGTCACATCATTTAAGTGAGAGGCCCATAGATATTTCCAATTCCTCCTGTGGGTAGTCCTCAGTAAAAAGACAGTCACATTAGTTAGAGTCTGTCCCCAGCGATGTGTAAGAATCCCAGCTGTGAACAGGCACCAGACAGGACAAGAGAGTCCCATCACCTGGGTGAACAGTGCACAGATATGTCACAATGACCCCATGTAGGTAAAGTCTAGACAAGAGTTACATCACCTGGGTGTTGGACCCAGCAATATGTCACAATGGCTCATGTGGCAAAGCACAGGACACAGTCATATAACAAAGTGCCAGGACCAGTGTTAGGTCAGGATACCCTTTATGGCAGTGCCAAGACAGGAGATTAGAAGCATATTAATTAGATGCTGGATTCAAGGATATATCACAATCTCATCTGTGGGCTACACCAGGCAAAAAAGTCAAATCACTCAGGAGCTGGCTAGAGGTGTACGTCAGAATCACACCTGCAGAAGGTCCATGGATGAGATTAACAATCCTCATAAGTGCCAGTTCTGGATATGAGAGTGAACGCCTCCTGTATGTTGCATCTATGTGCATAAGTCACAATCTCAATGGAGAATGGGTTTTTTCCATGAGAGCCTTAATCCCTTTGAAAAACGGAGTTATCTTAGTGGACTCACAGCCTCACAAGTGTTTGGATCTTGGTCAGGGAGTCACAAACCCACTTAAGGACAACATCCACTTATTAGAGCCAATTTTCCAACTTTTCACTGCCTCTGGGTGTGAGTTTCAGACCTCATTTATGTTCCATGTTCGTGTGGGAGAATGACAATTTTGACAGATGGCTGGGCTCAGGCAGGAGCCTTTCATCCTGCAGGTGTTGAGACAAAGGATATGATACAACACCTAAAATATGCTGGTGCAGGCAAAAGAGGAGACTCATATTAGCTGGTTGCTAGGTCCAGTTATATGTCACCACCTCCCTTTTTGGCAGGGCTAAGGAAAAAGAGGAGAGTCAGAGCTAAAGAAATGTCATAATGTCCCTGCGGGTAGGACCTATGCATGAGAGTTGCAACACCTAGTCATTGAACCCAGCCATATATTATAATACACAATGTATACAAGGCCCAGGCAAGAAAGGAGAGAATATCACATAGGTACTGTGTCCAGCAATATGTCACCATACCCCCCAGAGGGGAGGCTCCAGGCAACAGGATAACATTACCTAAGTGAAGTGCCCAGAGAGATGTTTCAATGACCCTGGTGGGTAGGATTTTGAAAAAAGAGAAGTTACAGAACCTAGGGGCTAGGCCTAGCTATGTGTCACATTCATCTCCAAGACGGAGCCCAGATATGAGAGAAAAGTCACATGATGTAGGTACTGGGCAAAGTAATATGTCACAATCCTTATGTGAGCCGGCCATAGGAAGAAGTAGAGAGTCACATAGTCTAGATGATGGGCCCAGAGGCATTTGACAATGACTCCTGTAGGTAGGGACCAGGCAGAAGAATCACATCACCCCTGTGCTGTTCCCAGTTATAAGTCACACTTCCTTCTGTGGGCATGCCCCAGGCAAGGAGAGGAGTCACATCATCCCGGTGCTAGACCCAGGGTTATGTCACAATCTGTCTTATGGGCAATGCTCAGGTAAGAGAGGAGAGTTGCATCAAATAGATGATGGACCCAGAGGTATGTCACGATGCCTTCTGTGAACTCGATCCAGGCAGAAGATTCACATCATCAACTTGGTGCTAAGCCCAGCAACGTGTCACAATCCCTTCTGTGTAAAGGGACCAGGCAGGAGAAGAGAATCACATTACCAGGCTGATGAGCACAGAGATATGTCACAATGCCCCTGTAAGGCAGGGCCCAGGCTGTTGGGTTACATAGCCTGAGTAGTGGACCCAGCAATATAACACAGTGTCCCATATGGGCAATGCACAAGCCGGAGAGTCACATAACCTGGATGCGAGGCCAAGCTATATATAACAATGCTTCCTGAGGGCAGCGCCAAGGCAGAAGAGGAGACTCACATCTCCGGGTGCAAGGTCTAGCGATATGTCAAAATGCTCACTGTGGGCAGTGCCAAGGAAGGAGAATAGAGTTACACCCTCAATGTGCTGGATCCAGCAATATGTTAATATCCCATCTGTGGGCTGGGTCCATGTGAGACCATCAAGTCACTCAGGTGCTAGGCACCGGCAAATTTCACCATGAAAGCTGCAGAATGGTCCAGGAATTAGATTAACAATCCCACAACTGTCTCAGTTGTAGGCATGACATTCAACACCTCCTGTATGTTGGGTCTAAGCTCACGAATAACCCTCTCAACACCAGACTGGATTTGTGCATGAGAGTCTCAATTCCTCTGCAGACTGACCTGTGTTCCCGTGAGAGGATGACAATAGTTACTGTTGGCTGGGTGTGCATATGAGTGTCACAATCTCACCTGTGTGCTCGGCCCAGTTAGCACGCTCTGTGTACTACCCAATGGCCCTATACTCTATGCATGAGAGTCGTAATCAACTTTGACACCTTCCTAATGGTAGGGACCCATGATCGTACTTGTAGCATTAAGCCCGGTATGAGAGTCAACATCATTACAATTAACTAGGTCAGGATAGGAGAGTCCTCCCTTGCCTATGAGCTGAGTTTAGATGTGGGCCACCATTTCAACTCTGGTTGAATGTTTATATATGAACACGGGCCTAACACTGAGGTGATGTGAGTCTTTGGCCTAGACACTTCAAGCAGGAGGCAAAGTGACATATCTCTGGGTCTATCAACTATTTGATGTGACCTTCCTTTTTTACCTGAGCTTTCCCCATAAAAGAGATGTGACATATGTCTAGACAAAGCACCTGGGTGATGTGACTCTCCTTTATTGACTGAGCCCTGTGTATTTTGGGTATTCTGACGTATCCCTGGACCTAACTTCTGGAAGATAAGAAGATCCAACATGGGCCCTGCCTAAAAAGTTTCTTGTGACAAATTTCTACATGAATCACCTTGGAGATTTGACTCTCCTCTCTTACCCGAGTTTTGCCCATAAGAGAGATTGTTACGTACCTCTGCAGCAAGCACCTAAATGCTGTGGCTCTTCTTTCTTGCCCGGGTCATGCCCACAGATGAAAGAGTGGCTTATCGCTGTGTCCAGCACACCGGTTATGTGATTATGCTGCCTGATCTCTGCTCACAGGAGCCATTGTGACATATCCCTGGGGCCAGAAACTATTTAACACGACTATCTTCAATGACCTTAACTTGGTGCCTGGGATAAGTTGTGACATATCTCTGGATCCAGCACCTAGGTGATGCGACTCTCCTTTTCTGCATGGGCTATGCTTACAAGAAGGAGGCTGACTTATTGCTGTGTTGACAAGTGATGTGATACCTCTGTTCTTGTCTTCTTAGTTTTTAAGAATTTAAACAAGAGACACAAGGAAAAAAAGTACAGCATAATTTATTGGAAAAGAAAATACTTGAAAGTTAAGTGCAGATTACAGTACACCCTGAGAGAGATACTCCAGGGCGGGCTGCTCGTAAGAGTGAGACAGCGTGGACTGTCGCTGGAGAAACCCCCTTACGGGAGTTTTACATTATTATTAATAAGGTGGAGGGAAGAGGAGTTGCTTATAAGCATGTTCTGAGTGATATTCTGGGTGCACATACGCAGTGACTATACATGCTTGTTCATATGTTGCATGTCTCGTTAGCATCTTAGATCTCCACCCAGGAGTGTATTTCTGTTTGTTTGTTTGTTTGAGACAGAGTCTCCCCGTGTTACCCAGGCTGGAGTGCAGTGGTGTGATCTCTGCTCACTGCAACCTCCGCCTCCTGAGTTCAAGCCATGCTCATGCCTCTGCCTCCAGAGTATCTGGGATTACAGGCATGCACCACCATACCCTGCTAATTTTTGTATTTTTAGTTGAGACGAGATTTCACTATGTTGGCCAGTCTAGTCTCAAGCTTCTGGTTTGAAGTGATCCATCTTCCTCAGCCTCCCAAAGTGCTGGGAGTACAGTTATGAGCCACCTTGCCTGGCTAGGGCCTATATTTTTTGCTATTAAAATAAGCGAAAGTTAAGTTTGAGGACAGGTGAAATCAAAATGCACATGCTTTCTAGAACAGAAAGTCCTTAATGAGGATAACTTTGCTTGAATAAGCCCAATTACAATGCGAATGCTACGGCTTATTGTGTTGGCTGTACAGTCACCATGGTTTCTGTATCCTGAGATCATGGTCATTTTCTGTACTATCTATTCTGCCTCAATTTCCCCCTAAGAGATTTTAGGGCAATAATCATATTGGAGGTTGAGGGGTTAGGCCATTATTTCTGGAGCTGTTTCCTGCTGAGCGGGTGTTACTTCTGCCTAGCCTGGGCCTTAAAGTTTCTTCCTGTGTGATCTAACAGGGTGTAAACCATGTCGTTCGTGGAACCAGTGGGAAGATGCTGGCAACCAAAGGTTGAAAGCCTTGCAAAACCATCATGCAAACATGGAGTTGCCGTAAGCAAGAGAGCAAGAAATCAGTTAACATTTTAAACAAAATTGGAACAAAAGTAAAAGTTGAAAATATAATAATGACGGGTACTATTAAAGAGAGCAAGGCAGACAACGGACATAGCTTTCATGTTCCCATGGAAGTTCCTAGAGATTCAATTTTGTCTGCCTGGGTGATGATATTATTAATATTTTCTTCGACTAAACCAGACTGATTGATCTCAAAAACAGCATTCTTCTTTTAGATATAAACATGTTCCTCTTTACCCGGCTGGGAGAAGATCCCAGGCTCCTTGGTTTTGTCGGACTACAGTGGCCATGGAGTCCAGATGTTGTTGAAGTCTATTGAGGCCCTCTGCTGCCTGTTGGGGACACACTGAGATTTTCTGAGATAGTTTATACTGGATTCCCAAGGCTCCACCTTATGGTGACATTTGTGCTGCAAAGGAATTCTGCATTGAAATGGTGAAAGCAGCAAAAGTTTTAAGTCTTTTCTATTTTTTGCCAATAAGCAAAAGTTTTCTGCAGCTACGTGGTCAGCAGTCATTGGGTCCATTTATGGATGGTGAAGTTGAATGGTGGTCAAAGTTAGAGCCTGGAAGGCTTCAGTAAATGCGCTGAAGTTCTTTGGGAGCCATCAGAGCTGTTGCGTGCATTGGATTAGATCATTTATTGAGAAGAGAACAAGCACTCTGATGGTCCTCTCTCCATTTGGGACTTTCTGTAAGCGGATCAAATTCTCTGGCCCTGCATGGTGTGAAGTTCCACCGCGAGTAACTACAGCTGGGCTGCTCACTATTGTACCTGGCAAAGGCTGATAGAGAGGAGCATAAGGAGGAGGTGAAACAAGCTTAGATTCTACAGAAGACTCTGATAGTGTGGGGATGCTGCGGATTCTACAGGAGGTGTAGGCCCTTGAGAGTCCCTATCTGGAGCTGGTGTTGGGCTGTTGGGTCTGGGGTCCCTTCCCCTTAATAAGAGATGATCTTCTAATGCTTCTGAGGGGCTTTGTGGCTTACTAGGCTTTAGCCCACAGGTGCTGCATAGAGCTGGGTTTTGTTGTCAGGCCATAAAGGTTTGCACATAGGATATTTCAGACCATTTTCCCTGATTTCTACAGAAAAGATCTAGCTGTAGGAGGGTGTTAAAGTTCACAGTCTCATTCCCCAGCCATGTTTTGTGAGCTAATCTGTATGCAAGCTAAATAGTATTACAAAAGAAGATAAGTTTTTTCTTTTCTTTTTTTTTTTTGGTTCATCTAGCCAAAAGCTGTTTCAATTTTTAAATATACATCCCAGGGGTGTTTCAATGACAGTAGAGGAAGCGGCTCCCATGGTGCCGACGGAATCTTGCAACGTCAGAACATGTACTAAAGTCCAGGAGGCCATGGGCATCACAATGGGACAAGTGGAACCACCAAGGTGTCCAGCACAGCCCCTCGAGACCCCATTAACTGAAGCTCTAGGAGGTCATAGGCATGTGCCATACACCGTCCTATCTCTCACAAGCGCTGCACATCTCCAGCCGTGCCGAGATGACCCCCACTGCTGGCTGGGGGGCAGATGTCTGGCTGACAAGCCTTTCCCTAATTTACTGGTTTGCAATTTATGATGCCGAATTATGACACCTGCAATGCTCAGATTCAAACCCCACGACCGGGCATCTACATGACTTTGAGTCGTTTGTTCAGCAAAGAAAACCTGTTGAAGAACAATTTCAAGGAGGTGGGAAATGCATAAAGCCTGAAGGGACAGGGTTCTCTTAATATTCCACTCAAAACAAAACAAGACAAAACTGTAAACAGAAAACCCGATCAGAAAATAAAGTACAATAGCCACTAGGTGGCGATCGAGTATTGCCGAAGGGACAGCAAACGATAAGCTGAGTCTGAAGTGTGGCCAGAAAGATGTGAAACTAAGCAGCAAACTAGCCCGAATATGAAATGTTGAGAGCAACCCATGCGGTGAGTGTCATTTATGGATAGTACAGATGCAGCAGCCAAAAGGAGAGCAGACATATATTCTCTCTCTAGAGAATATAGGTGATTTAAACACGTTTCCCCCAGAACTTTAGTGAAACAGCGCTGGAACAACCAGCGATAGTTAACCAGGTAGTCTGGAAGTGCCATAGTATTCACTGCAAGAAAAGGGAAACTGAAATTAATGAAGCAGACAAACCTCTCTCCGGGCCATGGCAAAAGAAATGTTGATGGCTGATGTAATACCTTGGTTCTTATCTTCTTAGCTTAAAAGAATTTAAACAGGAAACATGCAGCAAAAGAAGTACAGCATAGAGTAATTTATTGCACACAAAAAAGAAAAGAATACGTTGAAAATCAAGTGCAGAATAGACGGTACAGTCTGAGAAAGAGATTCCAGGGCAGCCTGCTCATAAGAGTGAGACAGCATTAATTGTTGCTGGAGAAACCCTCCTTCTGGGAGTTTTACATGATTATTCATAAGAAGGTGGAAAGAAGTGTTATAGAAGGCATGCTTTGACTGGTCTTCTGGGTGCACATGTGCAGTAGCTGTACATATTTTTGCATATGTTTCATGTCTCATTAGCATGCAATGACATTTCACCCAGGAATGTGTTTTTACTTGTTAAAATGAGCAAAGGTTCAGCTTGAAGACAGATAAAATCAAAATGCACATGCTCTCTAGACGTAAAAGTCCCTACTGAAGATAGTGGGTTTCAAACGACCCCAAGTGCTCCACAACTTAAAAGTCGCTCCCACGAACCTGGAACACTATCTGTTCCTGAGGGATCAGGTCCCATTTGTGTCTCTGAGACACTGGCAAGTGAGGCACGACTTGGGATGAGACCGATGATTTTAATTGTAAAATGCCTAAATAGTCAGCAGCTTCAGGTTACATTTTGGAGCTTGTCCACTTAAATGGGTTGATGAAAATGGCTCACAAAACTCACGCCTTGGAAAGCGGGTTTTCTCCCTTGCTCTTAGATTTTCTGCAACCCATTAAACTAACTTCCTGATGCCTCGACTTTCACATTCGTGAAAAAGGCGCCATTGAGAGTGACGTTTCCAGGAAGGCTCAGCCCTTGTCAGCCCCTGCAGAGCTCTGAAGCTGTTCACAAGCAGGCCATGTGGAAGATTTCTCTCAAAAGCCATTGAGCACGCGCTCTGGCTAGAGAAAAAAGAGGGCTGCTGCACAATGGACAGTGTCTCAGACATCAGGACAGTTTCCACAGTAGTTTAGGAAAAAAGGCAGTGCCCTGAGCTGCAGAAGGTGCAATGCTCTGGAAGGAACCCTGGGTGCAGCTGAAAGAGGAACCTGAGAAGCATAGGGCCAATCGGGTGAGGATAACCCGCCTGATTTGGGCAAAGGTAAGGTGCCTACATAGGGTAATACCCTCCTCAATGCTCAGCCCAGACCTGTCCTCCAGGTCCACCTCTGTACTCACTCTCTGTGGCAAAGAGTCGGCATAGCATAAGAACTCAGCAATGCTTTGGACACTGGGAAGTCCACACCGCTCTGTCCCTCCCTCCAGGTCTATGCACCCCGGATCCCGGTATATGCTGAGATTATGGTTCTGAAGCCCACCGACAAATAGGCTGAGAGCAGTTAACGGACTACAGCTCCCAGCATATTAGGTGGGGCATGTACAACTTTGCCCCTTCTTCCAGGGCTATGCCTTACCCCGGAGACTGGCGCATGCTGGGATTGTAGTCCTGTAGCCATTTGACCAAAGGGCTGGGAGTGTTTATGAGAATACAACTCCCAGCAATCCTAGGGAGGAGCACACAGCCCCGCCTCTTCCCCCAGTGATACGCATTGTCCCTGAGACAGGTGCATGCTAAGATTGTAGTCCTGAAGCTCTGCGACCAAAGGGCTGGGAGTGTTTATGAGCATATATCTCCCAGCAAGCCTAGGAAGACGCACACAGCCCCGCCTCTTTTTCCACTGACGCGGACTGTCCCTGACCCCAGTGCATACTGGGATGGTAGTCCTGCATCCCTGTGATGAAAGTTCTGGGAGTCTCCATGAAACTACCTCTCCCAGGAAGCAGAAGGAGGGGTCCACAGCCTAGCCTTTTCCTCCAGTAATGCGCACTGTCCCTGAGCTGGGTGCATGCTGGGATTGTAGTCCTGCAGCCCGGTGATGAAAGGTCTGGGAGTGTTTATGAGACTACATCTCCTACCAAGCCCAGGAGGTGCACACAACCCTGCCTCTTTCTCCAGTGACGCCAACTTTCCCTGAGCCCGGTGCATGCTAGGATTGTAGCGCTGCAGCCCTGTGACAAAAGGGCTGTGAGTGTTTATGAGACTGCATCTTCCACCAAGCCCAGAGAGGCGTGCAGAGCCTCGCCCCTTCCTCCACTGATTAGCGCATGCTCCCTCAGTCCCATGCATGCTAGGATTGTAGTGCTGCAGCCCTGTGACCAAAGGGCAGCCCAGTGACCAAAGGGCTAAGAGTGTGTGAGAATACATCTCCGAAAAAGCATAGCGAGAAGAGCACAGGTCCACTTCTTCCTCCACTGAGGCGCGCTCTCCCTGAGCACGGTGCATGCTGGGATTGTAGTCCTGAAGCCCTGTGACAAAAGGGCTGGGAGAAATAATGAGACTACATCTCCCAGAAAGCCCAGCGAGACGCATGTACCCCTTTCTCTTCCTCCATTGAGGCGAACTGTCCCGGTGCCCCGTGCATGCTGGAATTGTAGTCCTACAGCTATGTGATGAAAGGGCTGGGATTGGTTATCAGAATGCATCTCCCAGCAAGCCCAGCGAGGCACGCACAGCTCCACGTCTTCCTCCAGGGACACACACACACACACACACACACACACACACACACACAGTCCCTGAACTCGCTGCATGCTGGGATTGTAGTCCTGCAGCCCTGTGACCAAAGGGCCAAGAGTGTTTATGAGACTACATCTCCCAGAAAACGTAGGGAGAGGCACACAGCCCCACATCTTTTCCCAGTGACGCATACTGTTTTTGATCCTGATACATACTGGGATTGTAGTCCTGCAGCCCTATGACAAAAGGTCTGAGAGGCTTTATGAAACTACATTTCCCAAGAAGCGCAGCGAGGTGCGCAGAACCTTCCCATCCTTATCCAGTGAAGGGGAATGTCCGTGAGCCCCAAGCATGCTGGGATTGTAGTCTTATAGCACTGTGAGCCAAGGGTAGGGAGAGGACACGAGACTACATCTCCGAGAAAACCTAGGGAGACGCACACAGCCCCACATCTTTTCCCAGTGACGCATGCTGTTTTTGATCCTGATGCATTCTGGGATTGGAGTCCTGCAGTCCCGTGACAAAAGGTCTCAGAGTCTTTATGAAACTACATTTCCTAGCAAGTGCAGCGAGGTGCACACAACCTTCCCCTCATTCTCCAGTGATGTAGACTGTCCGTGAGCCCCAAGCATGCTGGGATTGTAGTCTTATAGCACCGTGACCAAAGGACAGGGAGAGGCCATGAGACTACAACTCTCAGGAAACCCAGCAAGGCGCACACTGCCCGGCCTCTTTCTCCTTAGACTAGCGCACTGTCACTGAGCTGGGTGCATACTAGGAATGTATTCCTGCAGCCCTGTGAGCAAAGAGCTGGGAGTGTTTATGAGAATACATCTCCCAGTACTCCCAGGAGGTGCACACAGCCCTGCCTCTTCCTGCAGTGACTAGCGCACTGTCCCTGAGCTGGGTGCATGCTGGGATTGCAGTCCTTGGCGATCTATGACCAAAGGGCTAGGAGTGTTAATGAGACTACATCTCCCAAAAAAGCAGAGTGAGAAGCGCACAGCCCTCCCTCTTCCTCCAGTGACGTGTGCTGTCCCTGAGCCCAGTGCATGCTGGGGCTGGAAGTGTAGTCCTTCAGCCCTGTGACGATAGGGCTGCGAGGATTTATGAGAATACATCTCCCAGCAAGCCCAGCGAGTAACAAACAACCCCGCCTCTTCCTCCAGTGACGCGCAATTTCCTTGAACCCGGTGCTGGCTGGGAGTGTAGTCCTGCAGCCCTGTGACCAAAGGTTTGGGAGTATTTATGAGAATACATATCCCACCAAGCCCAGCGAGACGTGTACAATCCCTCCTCATCCTCCAGTAACGCGCACTATCCTTGATCTTGGTGCATACTGGGATTGTAGTTCTGCGGCCCTGTAATGAAAGGTCTGGTGACTTTATGAAACTACATCTCCCAGCAAGCCAAAGGAGGCACACAAAGCTTTGCCTCTTCATCCAGGCACACGCACTATCCCTGATCCCGGTGCATGATGGAAATGTAGTCCTTCAGCCCTGTGACCAAAGGGCTGGGAGTGTTTATGAGACCGCATCTCTCAGCAACTAAAGCAAGGCCTGCACAGCCCCGCCTTTTCCTCCAGTGACGCTCACTGTTCACTAAGGAGTGTTCATGAGATTACATTTTCCAGCAAGCCCAGCGAGTTATGCACAGCTCTACCTCTTCTTCTAGCGACGCGCACTGTCCCTGATTCCGTTGTATGCTGGGATTGTGGTGCTGCAGCCCTGTGACAAAGGGGCTGGGAGTCTTTATAAGACTACATCTCCCAGCAAGCCCAAGAGGCTCTCACAGCCATGCACCACCCCCTCCCGCCCCACTTTTCCTTCAGTGACGCGCACTGTTCCCTGAACATGGTGCATACTGGAATTCTCCTGTTGCGGGATTCAGGAGGACGAGACAGACCTCAGGTTGAAACAGGAGAATCTTTATTGAGTGCACTCAGGACCAGCTGACTCACGTCAAAAAGACCGGGCCCGGAACACAGACAACACCTGACTTTTATACACACTTCACAAAAGGGGGTGGGCTAGCTTGAAGCGAGCTTACAGTGGCGTGAAAGCAGGAATACAGAGGCAGGACAAAGACAGGATTGCACATGACCGTTGCCAAGCAACCCACATGTCCATTATCTAGGTTTCCCTGGGCATGGGCTTATCCTATAACCCTCACTATGGTGCCCAAACAGCTGTAGTTCAGCCTACTCAGGCTTCTCATGACTTTCATTGTACTTCTTCGATAAAACACAATACTTGAAGTCACTAGTTACAGAGAACAAGAATCTATAAACTCATTCCATAAAACAAAGGGAATTTGTTTTTCTTTTCCCTGTGTTGGGGGAGTGTTGGGAGAACCTCCAGAGCACATTACATAATATTATCAAGAATTTTCCTGGGTCTGGGCTGTGCCTATTGCTGCCTCTGGGACAAATCAGCCTAATACAAGAAAACTTATTTCTCTTTCCTTTTAATTTCATTTTTCTTTAATTTCCTTCCTTAGTCCTGCAGCCCTGTGACCAAAGGACTGGGAGTGCACAGTTACACATCTGTTCACTTGTCATGAGACTGTTTTCCTTTAACCCCATGAACATACTTACCATAGCTTCTTTCAAATCTTACCTACCGATTACAGCATCTTGCACATCTTGAGAATAGGTTCTATTGTCTGCTTTTTATCTTGTGAATCGATTACATTTTCATCCTTCTTCACGCATCTCATAAATTTTTAAATTGTGTGATAGGAATTACAGGGACTCTGGCTTCTGTTGTATTTCTTTGAAAATTATTATTTTATGAGGGAGTTAATTTGAATAGATGCAAACCCCAATCCTTATCTCTTCTACAGTGGCAATACTAAAATCTTCATTCAGTTCTTCTAAACAGTGTGCGTTTCTATATAGCAAAATATAGTATTTTATTAAACTTTATTATAGTATATGTGAAACAGTTATTGAACAATCTACTCTACTTCATTATTACTGGAAGCCAGAACCTCAGTTGTGTTCACTTTCTGGATTTTATATAAGTGAAATTGTACAACATGTATACTTTTACATCTACTTTCTTCTATGCAACTTTATATTTATGATATTAATTCATCCTATTGCAGATAGCTATAGTTTGTTTATTTAAAAAATATTTTTTATATTGTGGCAAAGTATACATAAAATTAACCATTTTAGCTATTTTAAGTGTGCAGCTCAGAAAAATTAACTACACTCACATTGTTTTGCAACTATTATTCTCATTCATAGGGACCTTCTTTCAACTTCCAAAACCAAAATTTAATGCACATTAAATAACAGCTCCCTGTTACTCCCCCTCCAGCTCCTAGGAACCACTCTTCTACTTGGATTTCTAGAATTTAACTACTCTAAGTATCTCATAAGTGGAATGATACAGTATTTGTCCTTTTATGACTGGCTTATGTCACTTTGCACAATGTCCTTAAGGTTCATGCATAACGTACCATGTGTCAGAATTTTCTTATTTTACATAACTGAATAACGTTCCAATATATGTATAAATCACATTTTATTTATTTATTCATTGATGATAATTCAAACAACACGGGTAATTCACAAACCTTTTGGGTGATGTGAGTAATGCTGCCATGAGCCTAGGTGTACGTGTATTATTTTGTGTCTTTGCTTTCACATCTTTTGCTACATACCCAGATGTGAAATTGTGGGATCATATGGTGACTTTTGGTGTACATTTTTTAGTTATTATACTGTTATTTTATAGCAGCTGCAACATTTTACATTTCCAACAACAGTGTACAAGGGTTCTAATTGCTCCACGTCCTCACCAACACTTGTGATTTTCTGTTTTGTTTTGTTTCTTTTGGTAGTAACTATGCTGATGTGTATTAAGTGATATATCATTTGGAGTTATATTTGCATTTTAATAATGATTAGTTTTGTTGAGCACCTTTTCATGGACTTATTAGCCATTTCACATAATTTTTAAAGAAATGTCTGTTTAAGTATTTTGCCCATATTTTAAACAAGTATTTTGTTTTATTATTGCTGAATTGTTCTTTGTATATTCTGGATAGAGTCCTCTTTATTTTTCTTTTGTTTCTTGCATTTTTTGTGTCCTGTTAAAAAAAATCACTGCGAAATCCAGCGTTATGACATGTTTTACCTACATTTTATACTAAGAATTTTGTAGTTTTAGCTCTTACATTTAGGTTTTTGTCGAGTTAGTTAATTTTTTCTTATGGTATAAGTTAAGGGAACAGTTTCACTCTTTTACATGTAGGTACCCAATTTCCCCAGCACTAACTGTTGTAAAGGCAGTTCATTTCCCATAAAAATCATTTGACCATATATATGAGGGTTTATTTATATTGGCTTTCTATATTACTCCATTAGTCTATTTGTAGCATGCTATTTTGGAATTTTGTAGTAAGTTTTGAAATCATTAAGTGTGACTTCTCTAACTTTGGTATTTTTTTTTCAAAATTATTTTTGCAATTTAGGGTCCCTTGAGATTCCTCATAAACTTAAAAATTGATTTTTTAATATCTACACAAAATAATTGGCATTTTGCTTCTTGGTTACTTCCTAATTTTATTCTTTTGATGCTATTGTAAATTGAGTTGTTTTCATAATTTTCTTCTCAGATTATTCGTATTACTACATAAAATACAGTTTATTTTTCTATGTTGATTTTGTATGCTACTACTCTGCTGAATTTATTAATTTTAATATTTTTTGTGTGGAATCTTTAAGATTTTCTACATAAAAGAATATATTTTCTGTACACACTTTGATGAAGTTTATTTCATTGTCTTTTTTAATTTCTCTGAATGAAACTTCTAATACAGTGTTGAATAAAAGTGGCTGGCAAGAGCAGACATTCTGTCTTCTGAGCTTAGACGAAATAATTTTGGTCTTTTCCTCTAGAACATGTAGTTTGCTGTGGGTTTTTATACGTGAATTTTACAAAGATGGTTTTCTTTTATTCGTAATTTATTGTTTTTATTATAAAATATTTTGAATTTTGTAAAATACATTTTCTGTATTAATGAGATAATGTTTTCTAAAAATTTTGTTAATGTGTCATATGCATTGATTATTTTTCATATGCTAAAACTTTTGTTAAGAAAGGCTAGCTAAGTGAACCAGTGAGACTGGAAAAAGAATAAAGAAATCTATTCTGGTTGTGATCAATTAGTTGTAAACACCATTGCACTGAAACCAGCCATACGCTAAATCTTCCTTACATTCCAGTAATAAATTCCCCTTGGTCATGGGGTGTAATCTTGCTAGTATGCTGCTGAATGTGGTTAGCTAGGATGTTGCTGAGTAGTTTTGCATCCGTGTTCATAAGGGATATTAGTCTATGGGTTTTTGTAGTCTCTTTGTCTGGCTTTGGTATGAGCTAATGCTGGCATCATGGAATAAGTTTGGAACTGCTCTCTTCAGGATTTTGGTAGATTTTGGAAAGGATTTTTGTTCTATAAATGCTTGATCTACATCACCAGTGAAGCCAACAAAACAAGGGCTTTTCTTCATGAGAGGTTTTTAATTACTGATTCCATTTCCTTAGTAGTTTTCTATCTATTCAGATTTTGTATTTCTTTGTAATCAAGTCTTGCATAAGTAGGAATCTGCCCACTTTATCTAGGTTTTCCAATTTATCATCCTATCATAGTTCACAGTACACTTTTTTAAACATTTTATTTCTTTGAATTAGTAGTAATGTCCCACTTTCATTACTCATTTTAGTATGTGAATATGCTGTTAATTTTTCGTGTGTGTAGCTGAAGTTTTGCCAATTGTTAATTTTTTGAAGAACTGAGAGTGAACTTTTGGTTTTTTGGAATTCTGTTGTTTGTGTAATCTCTATTGCATTTATCTCTGCTAAAATCTTCAATACTTTCTTCTTTCTCTTTGCTTTGCATCTAATTTGGTGTTATTTTTCTAATTTACTAGGTGATAAAGTTATTATTTATTTGAAATCTTTGCTCTTTTTAAATGTATCTTAGCTGCAAACTTTTCATCTTAACACTGTTTTTGCTGTTTCCCATAACTTTTGATATGTTTTGTTTTCATTTTTCTTCCTCTGTATGTTCCTACTTCTTCCGTGATTTCTTCCTTTACTTAATTTATACAATTTTGTAATTCTTTAAGTTGTAATTGTGTAGTTGTTTAATTTATACAATTTTGTAAACTTTCTAGCATTTCATCTGTTATTGATTTAATTTGAGATCTACTATACAGCCCATCCTGGAGAATTCCCCATGTGCATTTGAGAAGAGTGTGTACTCTGTTTTGTTGGATGGAGTATATTGTATATATCTGTTAGATCAATTTAGTTCATTGAGTTAGTCAAGTCCTCTATTTCCTAATTTGTCATTCATCTCATTTTTCTATTCATTACTCAGAGTGGAGTATTAACATCTTCAACTATTATTTTAGAACTGTCTATTTGTCCCTTTAATTCTGTCAACTTAGTCTTTCTATATCTAAATGTTTTATTATTAGGTATGTAAGTGTTTAAACTATTTCTATCTTCTTGCCAAATGCACGTTCTATGATTATATAATGTCTTATTGTCTCTTGTAACTTTTTAAGTCTATTTTGTCTGCTATTAATATAGTCATCCCCAGTCTCTTTTTCCTACTATTGGTATAAAATAATTATTTTCTTCCCTTTTTTATAACCCTGAATTGCTGTGGAAAGCTAACAGTAGCATTACTTAATTTAAAAAGCACAGAAATCTTAAATCAATAGCTTAATGTTTGTAAAAGCATTTAAATGGAAATAAGCTACCAGTTCACCAGGAACAAAGGATATCAGTTGGGTCTAAGAATAATCATGCCAAAAAGCTCTAGGAGGAAAAGCTCCTGGGAATTAGGACTGTGATAATGGTCTTTGAGATCAACAAAGAAATGGGGAAATGGGGATGCTCAGGGTCAGGTACATGCTTAGCAAAAGACCCAGAAAACCCTAAGCTGTCACCTGTGTACTTTAAACTCTGCACAAGTAGAAAATAGAGGCACAAGGAGAGTTGTAACTTTATGCTGATTAGTAAAAGCATGCTCCAACACACATACATAGATCCCAGGTGAAAAAAAATCAGATATTTATTTTTAGTGAAGGTTAAAAAATCTGGAGTCTTACTTTCCAATTAAGGATTAGTGAAAATATTTGGGGAGATTTGCATTGATCAGTTCATCCTGAGGTCAAGAAAATCTTGATTTTAAAATTTGGAGCCTCCAGTAAAGGATTAGCTTCCACCTAGAGGTGTTCTTTGGCCTTTTGGACTCAGAGCTATCTTGACACTACTACTGGTTACACTGATTTGAAAGTCAGCTAAGAGCTTGCTACAGAACTCCTGACAAACTAAGTTTGACCTATAGAGGGCTAGGGCATCCCCAGCTGGTTGAAATTTTGTGCCTCCTTCTATCCTCTGAAGCAAAGCTGCTGTCTCTGTGGGGCCCCCAATTTACTGAGTGTTTCCTATATGACTGGTCCTGGTTCATAGATGAGTCAGGGAAGGTGAAACCTCATGATGTCCACTGGGCCGCTGTGGCTGTTTAACCTGTGCCAGCCATACAGAACCTGACATGAGTGGTTGCTCCTCTCAAAGGTCAGAACTCAGGGTTTGGGATAATGGCACATATTCTATCTGTTTGGTTATCTACAATGGAAAGTGTAGACTGTCTGAATATCTTTTGGGCTGCAAACCGGAAACAACCCCAGATGCTGATCTAACTGGGTCACTCATCTAGAAGTCCATGGTAAGTGTTTTCCAGAGAGTGACCACAATCAAGCTGCAGATTGAACCTAAATCTGTGTCCAACCCAGAGTCTAATACTGCAAACCAGACTTGGGGTTGCTGGTGAAAGTTGACCTATCTGTCTCATGGTTGAAGAATTCCTAGACCATACCTAGCAGAGTAACCAGAAGTGGACTTTTAGCCCACTTCTTGAGATATCAGTCACCACTGTTGACTTCTTCAGCATAACAGTCATCTGACTCCAGCCATACCATGTGTCCCTTGAAGCTAATCTGTGCCACCTTTTAGGCTTTTGAGGCCAATTGAGCTCTGACTTCGTGGCATTTTTCACCACATCGACTAAAATGGGCCAACTCTACGATGTTCCCTCCTTTTCCACACATGTTGGTTAGATAATTCGTTGATTAGGTATGCTTTTCTCTGAAAGGGGATTATCTCTTCCAGATTGCCTCCAAGATAAGGATGAAATGTTTGGGGGATCTAGGAATCTATTTCACAAATTTGGAATTTCGTGCTAATAATTCCTGGGTGAAATGTCTTTCTTTCCCATACCTGCAATTCTAGACCAGCCTGGCTTTTGTATCCTCTGAGTTGCATCCCAGCCTAGCAGCAGTTATGGGACTCCAACTTAGTTCTGGTTAAGTTTTATGTAAATATTCTTGTATCTGTTTTACCTGGCTCTACTACACAAAATGTCTAGAAAAAAGTAAAGGGCGACTAGAATAAAGGTGAGATTATAGATATCGGAATGAGACACACTGATTCTGTGGAGATAGAGGGAGAACAACAACCTGGAACGTGGGAAATGAACAACTTAGACCTCGGAAGCTACGGGGAATGGTGGGACATTAACAACTTTTTTTCTTTCTGAATAACCCCTGGTGCAGCCCACAAAAGAGTCTGGAAATACTATTAGAACAGACGGTAAGACAGAGGCTGTGGATTCAGCTCCTTTTGGTCTCCACGTTACTCTTAAGAATCCTTTGAGACTATTCTATCTCTCTGTGATGTAGGCATGGAACTCTAGTGGGCAGTGTGCACTCTCGGTGCCCATGGTTCAACGCCACAGTTTTTCAGATGATGGACAACCATTGCTTTTTCCTGAAGAGACTTAGTACCCTGTGGCTGAGCTTAAGCGGGACTCTAGGAATTACTGATTGCATTTTCTTCTTCTTCTGTGAACTGCGATTTCTCCTTCTGTTTTTCTACTACCTAGAGATTAATCTGTATTTGTCAATATTTAGGTAAATCAGAGACATAAAGCAGATAAGGAACCCTAGACACAGCTTCTAGCATAGCTGGACTCTTGCCTGTTTCTCTTCCCACTTTATGAGATCAATTATATTGGCACAGAGAGATAGCCTTAGATGGGTCTCTCAGGATCAATTAGAGAAGCATACTTCTAGAGAAGCTGGTAGAACAGGGCAGGAGGGCCAGTGAGGATCAAAGCTTCTATCCAAATGTTTTAGCCTAGCTGTGTGTGGCAGACGAATCCAGGAAAGCTCCCAGATCCCTGGAAGGGATTATTAAGAGAGGATCCATTAGATTAGAATGCTAGGTTGGGTGTTCATCTATCACCTTCTGAGTCAGATTTCCAGGGTTAAGTCTGTGGTAGGGCTGCAGAGAAATGCTCGCCTGGGAAAGCCTCTGATCAAGTGCAACATAGGTGACTCCCGCACAGGGAGAAGTCCTCTATTTGAGGAACATCATATGTGTTTGGATGTATCTGTGCTCTTCCTCAGCAGAGGACCATTGACTGAATGACTGTTTGACAATTACGCATAAAGAGCCCTATATTATTTTGAATTTAGTAAATATTGGAACAGAAACAAACAATATTATCTACTTTCAAATTGAATAACAGCATGAGCAACTTCCAGGTAAATGTCACAGGAGGAAACTCTGGGGCCTTGCTCATCACCAGAAACCTTGAAAATCCTGATGCAACCTGTAGGGTTAACCTTATCAACACTTAGTTTTTTACCATATAGATTTATCTTCATAAAAAATATTTTCTTTGGACCTTTATTTTGTTATATGCCATGAAGAATAAATCATTTATTTCCTTTGCGATAAGAACATCACATTTTTACACCTCAAGTATTAATGATGCCATCCCCCATGTAGTTTTTGTTGTGATGGCCTGAATGTTTATGTCCCTTTGCAAATTCCTATGTGGATAATTTTAGGCGTGTGGCCTTTGGGGAAGTGGTGAGGCCAAGAGTTCTTCATCTTCATGAATGGAATCAGTGCTCTTTCAAGGGAAGTTGAAGGCAATGCCCTTGTCCCGTGTGCAAGATGGTACCATCTATGGGGAACAGGGCTCTCAACATATACTAAATTTTCTGCTGCCTTGATCTTGCACTTTCCAGACTCCATAACTGTGAAAAATACATTTCTGTTGTTTATCCTTTACCCAGTCTGAGGTATTTTGTTATAGCAGCCTGGATGCACTATGACACTTTCTTAGGCACTTTGGTCTATTTCTGAATTTTTAGTTTCAGTGACATATGAGTTTTTAATCAATCAAGATTTTTCACAGAGCTTGCCAGTCTTGTTTTTTGCTTTTTTTTCAGAGTTTTCTTGTCTATTCTTATGTGTGTTTTCATCTATATAATATTTTATAGTAACGTGTACTTCCAATATTTAATGGTATCTGTATAGGAACAAAATTGAATTTATAAATAAACTTAAGGACAATTGATGTTGATAATATTGAGATTTGCTGCCTAAGAATATGATACAAATTGTCTATTTGCTTATGTCTACATTCATATATTTCATAAACTTTCTATGTTTTTCTCATATTCTGTACACATTTTTGTAATGTTTATTCCTAGTTTATTTTATTCTGCTAAAAAGTAATTTGAGACACAATGAAATTGCCAAGTGTCTATTTGAGTAAGAGCAATTGATAAATTATAAAATATCAGACCAAAAGTTATTTAGTGCTTCTCTGACAGAGTAAGAAGCAAGTATTTATTGAAAAAATGTAGAAACAAAAAAATCATTTGATTGGTGGTAGCACAACTTTTTTATTGTTTTTTGTTCGTCTGTTTATCTTGTTGGACAGTTTCTATTTATATAAGGATGTTGGCTACTCCTGATTGGTTGAGCTTCATTTCTCTTTTTTAAATAGGCAGCTACAAGAAATATTTAAGTTTTGCTTGTATTTGCAAATCAAGCAAGGTTGAGATCACTTATGAGACCTAACTAATTTCGTCTGCTCAGAGATTATTGAGACGTGATCTCCATTTTAATTTATTTTAACAAATTTTCTGTACTTTTAATTCCCATCCAAACTGTAACTTATAAATTATTATTGTTGTACATATATAGGCCCATGTTGTGTATGCTTTGAAGACATGTCCTGCTTTCAAACTCATTTGTATTATGTTATTATTGAATTTGCCCCATTTATTGGAATTATATACTGCAATCTCCCAACTACAAGAGGTATGAGTTCTGAGGAGATCACAGTAAAGATGAGTCAGAAGTGAAAACGGTTCTCCAACTCACACATGCAGTAAAAACAAATTTCACGTGGATATAATGAGTAATTATTTAAAATTTAAAATACCCTGAAAACATTAACGTTTATCTCATTACTATGTAATATGGAAATTACAAGACAAAAAAACCCAAAGACTTATTTTTAAAATAGAAATGGAGCTTTTTATATGATGAAATGGTCCATAATTTAAATGTAAAAAGTGAATAGGAAATACATGAAATAAAATAAAATTATTTGTAAAAGTGACAATGCCCGTATTAGATTTAACAATATCTTACAATGAAATAAGTTGAAACCTACAAAATAGAAGAAAGTTTAAAATTAGGCAAATATTATGAGCCAGGTGAAGAATAAATACATATATCAATAAGCATTTAATGTATTTTGTCTTAGATTTTATATGAAATAATAAAAAGTAAGCAAACCAATAGCAAGGTAATTTCACCCTGATTGATTCAAACTGAAAAAATATTAACATTTCTCCATTGGAAGTTGGATTCATGGATTGGCCTCATGCTGCATTCAAGGCACTTTAGCCAGGACCCAACACTCATTGCCAAGAGTCATCAGGCTAGAAGTTTGCTTTTAAGATGTTCCCCGGCCTGCGACCAAGACACTTTGTCTTGACTACTTCTTCAACTCTGACATAGGTTTTGCTGATATAAATGAAAACCCAGCTCTATACCTACCAAGCATCTACATGGCTAGAGCTGCACATTGAATATTTAGGCACTAGGCAAGAGGTCTTCCCAGGTTTCCAAGCAGACTTTCTAGAATTTCCCAAAAATACTGACATTGTCTTTTTCAGACCCAATCTCCCAAAGAGAATCAGAGAGATGGTCTGGAAGCCATTTAGAATCTCCAGCCTCCAATTTAGTAACAATGGACTTGGATACAAAGAGGCAACCTACTGACCTCAAAGACACCAGCCCAGATTCTGGGCATTGAATTCCTGCCTCCCCATGAAAGATCTCATCTGAGTCACATCAAAGCCCACACTCTTCTTCAACGTTCACCTTCCAGACACGCTCCAAAACAGCCCCTCAGAATTGTCTTGAGATGAAACAAAAGGTGATGAAGCTCCAGGTTTGGAATGCCTGCCTCATTCCTCACTCCTGAAAAGTCTACACCTGCTGGTTAGAACTCTCATACCTTAGGGAGCCCGGGCTCTCAGAGTGCATCCTCTAACAGGACCTCCTGGCCTTTTCCTCCTTGGAGGAGAGTGCCCAAGAATAAGAGGGAATACATGGCCTCCACTCTCACTTGACTTGATTGACTGATTAACTGATGTCTGAGGAGGAAACATATGTAGGGAACAGCCTGGGTCTTTTGAATCCCTGTTCCCCAGCTATGATGCCTGTGCAAATGGAGGGAGAATCCCAAAGTATTGTTGGGAGGTAGACAGACACTGGCTAACACAATTAAGTAAATATAAGGTGACTTGAAGGGAAATTTATCATATGTCATATACAAAATTTTAGTTAGTGAACTTTATTTAAAAACAGTCACAATTTGTAAGGGGAGTAAAGTATAATTTTAATGGGGAACTATGAAAATTATCTGCACTTGCTATGTAAATGATTGAGTTAGGGGTAACAATCTGAAGGTCATGAGCTTGATATCTGCTACTTAATTTCATAAGACATTTACTTGCAAATGGTTGTCATTTTTGCTCTCACCATATGAAAATTTTTTCTTGCTA
The DNA here is from genome assembly GCF_000001405.40 of Homo sapiens. Lineage (NCBI taxonomy): Eukaryota > Metazoa > Chordata > Mammalia > Primates > Hominidae > Homo > Homo sapiens. Next base: position 149,521 of record NW_021160023.1, read on the forward strand.
AGAGCATTCCTATGAAAGAAAAACTAGAAATTTTGCCAATTTCGGTTATTAAAACAATAAAACTGGTTTGTTTGTTATTCTTAACCAAATGCTCCTACAGATGGCACATAGTACCCATGCTTTGATTGTTTTTTTCCCACCTTAAGTCAATTGCCTTTCATTTTATTCATCAAACTGTTTTTACTGTAGATAGACATTGCAGTTGTCATGTGCCCTATGGATTTGTACTTTATTAGAAATATGAATTCTCAGGCCGAGTATATTGGCTCACGCCTGTAATCCCAGCACTTTGCGAGGTGGAAGAGAGTGGATCACCTGAGGTCAGGAGTTCAAGAACAGCCTGACCAACATGGTAAAACCCCATCTCTCTACTATTTACAGTTCGCATTGTACCTTGCAATGAATATACATTTTATCCAAAAAGCCTAAAAAATAATGAAATTGGGGGTGGGGGCATGGCTGGAAGTATAGATAAAACAAAAATGACACATGACTAGCAGCTGTTAAAGCTGGGTGACTGGTCTGTTATACTTTTTTTGTATTGTGTATGTTTTTAGTGATCTGTAATAAAACACTTGTACAAAATGACAAAGTTTATCTACACTTAGCTCTTAAGGTCTTGGTTACCTTTGGGAAGGGGAAAGTGTCAGGGGCATGAACAAATCTGATTCTTAGATACACAAGTGTATTTATTTAGTAATAATTCATCAAACATTCCCTAAATGCTTTGTGCCTATATTGCTGTATGCATGTTATTTATCAATAAAAATGTAAAGAGTGCATGTTTGCATAACAATCCTAAATTAATATTTTAGAATAATAGCAATGTTTTGTTTTGTTTTCAAGTGGGGCGTGTTCACTCAGGACATCATCAGGTGTATGTTAATGTTCCAAGTTATTTATTTATGTTTTAACTTTTGGGTGAGCCCCCCTGGGTCTTTTAATTTTTACTTCAACACAGTAAGTAGCATGGTTTTAACTTTTTGGAATGCAGCTTTGTTTTCATCAAGGTTCTCCCCGAAGAATGATGCTCACCCAGGCCAGGGCACACAGTGACCCGTGCACAGGATGCACTGAGCACACACGGCACTGGGTGAACCAGGAACAGAAGGAGAAGCCAGCCCGGGTCTGCAAAATATACTTTGCAGGAAAAGCAGATAAAATGGAAAGGTCACAATTCAGCAGCAAACGTTTTCACATTCATTGGAGAAATCATTTCTAACAAAAGCTGCTCGTTAAAGCCATGGTTTTCTGGCTTGCCTACACATTGTAATCACCTGCACGACTTTCAACCATATTTTTTTCAGATCCAGCTCCAAGGATTCTGATTTAGTTGTGCGGTTACAACTTGGGTTTAAGGGATTTTGAAAGTTTTCCTCCCCGCAGGTGATTCTCTTGCGCCAGGGGTAAGAAGCACTGGATAGGGGTGAGGGATGCTTTAGCTGTGAGAGATAGCCATGTACGCTTCAGGATTTGCCCCATCGCATATCTGGAGTTCGGGGTCTTAGAAAGCTTTCTTGCCCTGTTAAAAATTAAAGGATGGCTTCAATACATACTTAGCTGCTTGGCTACATTGCAGAAAAACAAATTGCCTTTCCAGAGATCAGTTTTTTGAGACAGAGTTTTGCTCTGTCAGCCAGGCTGGAGTGCAGTTGTGTGATCATGGTTCATTGCAGCCTTGACCTCCCAGGCTCAGGTGATCCTCCAGCTCCAGCCTTCTGAGTAGCTGGGACTGAAGTCATGCACCACCAGGCCTGGCTAATTTTTCAATTTTTTTTTTTTTTTTTTTTTTTTTTTTTTTTTTGTAGAGATGGCTTTCTCTATGCTGCCTGGGCTGGTCTCAAACTCCTGGTCTCAAGTGATCCTCCCACCTCAGTCTCCCTAATAGTTCGACCTACAGGCACAGGGAAGCATGCCCGGTGTATTTATTAAAATGTAGTTACCAGAATATTTAAAATTCACTTGTGCCTCTCATATTATTTCTTAGAGAATTGCCTCCCTTTTGAAATCTCAGGCTGCCTGCTCTAAAACCTGGATGTGCCAGGAAAGTAAAACATCTGAAATTTTAAAACAATTGTCATTATATTGATTCCATATATGAATAACACATATATATTATTCATTAATACAAATAATCTTACATACAAATGTAAATGCAAATATTTTACAGGCAGGGCCAGTTTCTAGTTCACAGAGGAAGCCCTGCTAGAAAAGGATCCAGGAAAAACCTATAATTCTTGCTTTATTCAACCCAGTGTCAAATCACATATGTCACTCATGGTCTGAGGCGGCAGGGTAGGGAATTGAACTACATCCAATCATGGGTCTTGGAGTGGAAACTATCTAATCAGGTGCACAGCTGGAGAAGAATGGGCAGCTTTTTGGAAGTACGGAGGCCTTGGCCTGTCTCTCCACTCAGAGCTCAGGACACTAGAGCCACCTCAACATAATCACCTGTTTTTTAGTTATTTTAACACTCCAAAAGGGAACTAGTTTTCTCATGCATTTTCCAAATGTGTGGCAGGCAGAGACTCAAATCTAACTCCCTGTTGCCCCAGCCTAACTCTGGCTTGCAATCAGATTTTAAATTTCCAGTTCTTTCCTGACACTCACCAACACTAACTAACCTTCCATAATTCACAACATTATCAACTGTTCTTTATTGTACATTTCAGACACAGTATTTCAATTCTTCTTTTTGTCAAAAAGCAGTGGATGTCATTTAAAAAAATTTTTTCTCATTTGTAAACATTTTACAGGAGATGAAAGCAGAGAATAATCCCCTGACACCCCACTGTAAAAAAAATAAATAAAAAGCGGAAAACCTTTGTGCCCCTTTGTTTAAACTTCTCTTGGCACAGACACCCCATCAGAAAGCCTTTGGGTTCAGGTTTCATTTTGGAAACTTCACAGGGCAATACATCCTCAGCCATCCTGTTATTTTCTTGGTTTTGAATTTCAAAACTGTTTGAGGATTCCCCAAGATGCCAACAGTGGCCATGACTCTTGAAGTGTCTAGTAAATAGCATCCCTTGTGTCATCTCCTCTCAGGGAACAGCCCAAGGTATGGGAATGCAGCCTCTCTGTGGAGTGGTTGTTTGAGCTGTGCCTGGAAGGAATCTCTAGGTATACCCTTGCGCTAAAAGCAAACCCATTAGGTCATTAAGATTTTCTTACCCCAAAGCTTAGTTTCCATTCCTTAGAGACACATTGCAGGCCAGGCAAATGGATGCTGATATTGAGGAAAAAATGTTCTCAGATTGGTGAAGGGAGAGAAAATATTTCAAAGGACAAAGAAACCCAACCTAGTGAGGCAGTGCAAAAACCTGCAAAGTAAAATGCACCTCAGGGACACAGAGGAGCACAGGGTAGCGGCTCCTGGTAGGATGGTCATGACCCACTTCACTGAACCAGATGTGAGTGGGGAAAATATCCCAAGTAATAGAATGGCTTGACTTGACCCTTGGGTCTGATATGTCTGTGTTTCAATCGGCACTGTCACCTTCTAATTTTGTCACCTTGAAAATGTTTTTGTACTTACTTTAACTTCACTTTTTAATTAACTGTAAACTATGTTTTATCAGTAGAGCTTGAAAGGCATGAAAATATTTATAAAGCACATTAAGTTGGTGAATTTTGAATAAAATTAAGTAGTAATATATTTCACTTGTTAAAAATTGTTACTTGCCTATTTCTTTAGCAGAATGAGTGTCGTACATTTCCCAGGACTGTTTTTTATTTGTCTGAGAGGTGATTTCAAGCAGAATCTCACGGCTTACTGTTGGGAATGTTACCAGGTGTATTGATAGGGATAGTCTCTCTTCCACTACGGTGGTAGGAAATGAATACATACCTACAAGCACGTGAGGTAGATTAATTGTTAAATTACATAAATTTATCACATCAGTTATTCTTTTTTCAAAACAGAGAACTTCTGATAGTGAGTATCTCTGTTCCATATGCTGTCATCTGGGTGTTTGAGGGTAACGCTAAGTTTTAGGAGCTGGGACTTGGCACCGCCTGGAAGTGTTCACATATGATTGTTTACTAAATGATTTGTTATGAACATAATTAAATTACATGTTTATTTTCTGAAAGGGATAGATACTTTGGCTTTTCTTGTTGAGTTATAAAATGTAAGCCCCTTATAACTTTCTTTTTTAATTTTAATTTTATTTTTTAGACTTAGTGTCACTCTTGTTGCCCAGTCTGGAGTGCAATGGCACGATATTGGCTCACTGTAACCTCCACCTCCCGGGTTCAAGCAATTCTCCTGCCTCGGCCTCCCAAGTAACTGGGATTACAGGAATACACGACCACCCCCGTTTAAGTTTGTATTTTTAGTAGAGACTGTGTTTCTTCATGTTAGTGAGGCTGGTCTCGAACTCCTGACCTCAGGTAATCTGCCCGCCTCAGCCTCCCAAAATGCAGGGATTACAGGCATGAGCCACCATGCCCGACCATAATTTCCTCTCTTTTAAACCTTAGATTTGAATGATTTTTGCTGGATTCTTCAAACATGAAGTATTTTTTAAATTGAAAACTAATTGAATGACTTTAACTGGTAAGTAGAAGTCTTAGACCGTTGACTAAAAGCTAAGGCTAACGTTGACCCTGCAAAAGGGGGCCACTGAAGGCCCAGTTGATTATTCCTGGGTGTCTGCCCTGCAGACATCAAAGTCTGCTCACACCAACCATAGAAGGAGCCTTTGTCACTGTCAGAAGATACAGAGCTTTGGTAAGCTGGAAGTTGACAGGCAGATGCAGTTGGGGTTGAGATTGAAGAAAAGTTGGGATATTCTTTCTAGAATGGAGTTGTTATTGTCCTGAGACTGTTTATAGACTTTGTCTAAGAAGTTACTTAAGAAGTGTTGTAACAAGGAAAAAGTACAAATGATTAGATCTTTGAGGATCTCAAAGGTTAGGTGGAAAAGGGTTTTATTTCATAGGGAGGAGAAAATAAGTTTACAAAGAAGGTTGGAAAGGAAGCACAGGATGGAGGGTAGCAAAATCAGATCCCAGATAAGATAATGTTTCATCTTGAAGTCAGCCTGTTCTTAGGAGGGATATGTATAAATATGGGTTGTAGGTTCTCTGAGGCTGTGGGTGAGTCAAAGTTCAGGGGCTGAGGGAAGAAGGGGAACAAGCAAAGTTTTGTTAACAAGTACTCTGTTTTGACCACTGAAGACTAAATTACAGAATGGTTGTTCATTTTTAAAAATAGGAATTTGTAATCTGTGTCCGTCTTTGTGATAGGTTAAAAAAAAGGGGGGGGGGGGAACATCCACAAAGTCATAATGGGAAGCACGTTTCTCTTCACTAAGCTGTTCTTTGAGAACACAAAGAATGGGGGAATTTCTTTAAATATAGCTATTTCCAGGATTACCTTCACCCACAACTGTTCCTTTTCCTAGACATCTCTTTCATTTGTCAGTTTCTGAGTTGTATTTTTATAATAAAGTGGTAAATATAATTAGACTTATTTGTTGAGTTTTTTTGAGTAACTCTATCAAATTATTTAACTTGAAAAGGGGTTTATGGGAGTCTCAGATTTATAGGCAGTAGCTCAGAAGTATAGATGGGCTTATGGGACATGTGACTAACCTCTGCAGTGAGAGGGGTGATGTGGGACTTAGCCCTGAATTTGTGGGATCTGTGCGAACTCTAAGTTGTGTCAGAATTAAATTTTGGGGCAAGAAATGGGTGTTGGAGAAGCAGTGGGTTTTCAGGGAACTTTACACATTTAGGATCAAAAGTGTTGTAAGGAGAAAGACAATGTGGGGGCCTTTGCTGGAGAGAGACTCCAGGTGTCTCGGGGAAGGTAGGTTCTGCTCTGCACACAGGCTGCTACGCCATGCACTGCCCTGTGGTTCCAGGCATCCTCCCATGGTAAGAAGGACCGACGACTCTGAGGGAAGAAGTTCTGAGAACAGATGCCTTCTACCCTCCTGCCAACCTGAGGTCACCACATGTTTTTCACCCACTGAACATACACACTGCATGTTGACGTGGTCAAGCCCCTCTCAGGACAAGGCTTTGGCATCAAGATTGTTGCCCATCCTACCTTTCCTCATAGACTTTCCCACCAAAAACCCACACACGTGCCTACAAGACCCCTGGCATATGTTCTACTTCAGACACCGAATCTGCAGTGGCAACCTGGTTTTTTCACCATCGCAGATTTCTGTGCCACCTGATCATAATCTCGTCTTCCTGCATGAACATAGAAATAACTCAGAGAAAAGTTTCACCTGGGTCAGTGTCTGTAGCATGAACCAGTCCTCCCACCAACCCTGTACAGTCTCTCACTTCTGGTTTCTTAATAGCACCTTCCCCTCTTTTACCTTTTAGTTCACCTCAAACCCTTTCTTTTATGTGCACACAGTGTGCCCAAGGCCACCCCTCAGTTGCCTGAATCCAGCACCTACCAAAATTCAGATGTCCAGTAGTTCAAGACCATGGGCCTAGACTAAGTTTTTGCAGAAGGCAATACAAATTAGAAATGAGAGGCTCTATTCTCCCATTTGAAAATAAAAAAAAGATTTTTTTCTTTTCCTTTTTCTTAAACAATGTAATCTGGAAAACTTTAATTAGTAATTTTTTGAGGCAGAATCTTACTCTTTTACTTAGCCTGAAGTGCAACGGCATAATCATAGCTCACGGTAACCTTAACCTCTTGGGTTTGAGCAGTCCTCCTGCATCAACCGCTTAATTACCTAGGACTATAGGCATGAACCACCATGCCTGGCTAGCTTTATTTATTTTTGTTTTTATTTTTTTTCAAGACAGTGTCTTGCTCTGTGGGCTAGGCTGGAGTGTAGTGCCATGATCTTGTCTCAATGCAACCTCCACCTCCCAGGTTCAAGCAATTCTCCTGTCTCAGCCTTTTGAGTAGCTGGGATTACAGGCGCACACCACCATGTCTGGCTAATTTTTTGTTATTATTATTTTTAGTAGAGAATGGGTTTTACCATTTTGGCCAGGCTGGTCTCCACCCCCTGACCTCATTATCCACCTGCCTCAGACTCCCAAAGTGCTGGGATTACAGGTGTGAGCCAACATGCCCAGCCATATTTATTTTATTTTTTTGTAGTGACAGAATTTCACCATATTGCCTGTACTGGACTCAAACATTTGGCTTGAAGGTATCCTCATGCCTTGGCCTCCCCAAATGTTCAGATTACAGGCATGAACCACCATGAGTGGCCTGGAACACTTTTACATGTACCTTTTTTTCTCTGCTTCTTTGAAATATAAGCAAATCATTTTAACAGCTAAATAAGCCTTCTGTCATTCTTCATGACAGAGAATTGTCTTTATCTAAGACCTGGAAACTATTGCTTTGTTTTTTAATTTGGCAAAGATTTATTTATTTTTTATTTTCAGTCCTTTGAAGTAGGCACAGCGCAGTACAGTGGCTCATGTTTTTAATCCTAGTGCTTTGGGAGGCTGAGATGAGAGAATTGCTTGGGCCCAGGAGTTTGAGACCAGCCTGGGCAGCATAATGAGACACTTTCTTTATAACAAATTAAAATCAACTAGCAGGGCATGGTGGCACAGGAGGCTGAGGTGAGAGAATCATTTGAGCTCAAGAGTTTGAGGCTGCAATGAGCCATGATCACTCCAATCTACCACTGTATTCCAGCCTGGATGACAGAGGGAGACCCTGTCTCTAAATAAATAAGCAAATAAAAAAATGTGTTTTTCCATACATAAAAATAAGTTAATAAACAGATAAATAAAATAGACATGGATTTGCTTAGAATAAAGCTAATTATAAGATAACAGAAAAGTGAGCACCAAAGATGGGGTTCAACTTAGCAAGTGATTCCAGCCTATTAGGACACTCACAGAATTCTCCCTGCAGCACGACCAACATGAAAGTAGAATGTCATCATGTCAGGCTATACCAGCGTCGGAAGACTAAACACTGTGGGGAAGAACCTCCCTTATGGAATATTATCAACAGGTGAGAGACCAGCTCCTGCCCTGATGGGCTACAGAGATAAATTCTTGAGATAACACATTGCAGAAACATGCATAGAGTAGTTTAACCTTTTTTGTGTGTAACCCTTTCTCCATTTTCCTGCAAAATCCTCCCTAGAAATAGTGTTCGCTTTTAAGTTTTGAGGGTCTGGTAGGACTGAAGCTGCATGCTGCAGGAGATACCTGGGGTAGGAAACTAACACAAACTGCAGCTACAGGCACAAATACTCATGGCCTAATGTAAAGTGAAAACAATAGAAAGGTCTTTACTGTTATTCACCCAAGTGAGTGAACAGAGACTTTCCACATAACCAACTTGCCACTGAGACTAATGAAGGCCAGATTCCACTGGATCAAGACTATGAGTTACTCATGGGAAGATCATAGGACACAGCCCAGAGAGTTTTCATACTGGAGTCTGGGTACTGGGTCTGTCCCGGTCTTCTCGGGTTTCTGTCTGTAGAGACCCCTATGTGGCTGCTCTTACCACAGCCCGGTGCTGGCTGTGGTTGCTGGCTTAGTGCACCTGGTCTTTTTCCAAAAAGAGGGAGGAGTTGGCCACATCAAGAAGCTCCTCATCAATCTGAATGCAGCTCTGTAAAAAGTGCCTAGAAACCACGCAAAGAAAAGTCAGTGGTCTGCCTTGTTTTCACCGTATGTGACACCTCCACTAGAAATTCTGCTTTTCTCTGCACTCCAGCCTGGGTGACAGAGCGAGGCTTCCTCAAAAAGGGAAAAAGAAAAAGAAAAAGAGAGAAAGAAAGACAGAAGGAAGTAAGGAAGAAGAAAGAAAGAAAAAGAAAGAAAGAAAGAAAGAGAAAAAAAGAAGAAAGAAAGAAAGAAAGAAAGAGAAAGAAAGAAAGAAAGAAGAAAGAAAGAAAGAAGAAAGAAAGAAAGAAAGAAAGAAAGAAAGAAAGAAAGAAAGAAGAAAGAAAGAAAGAAAGAAAGAAAGAAAGAAAGAAAGAAAGAAAGAAAGAAAGAAAGAAAATAAAAGAGAAAAGAAAAGAAAAGAAATTCTGCTCTTCAGATTAGGCACATAAGGAGAATCTGTATGAATCTCCAGCAAGGAAGGAAACCAGAGGACAAGTTAAAGTCTTGGAATTCACATCTGAGTACACAGACTCGTTCTCCAACCCTCTTCTTTTTATTCTGCCAGCTATGGCCTAGGTATGAACATGACAGGTACACAAGGGTTCCAACACCTGACAATCTGCTTCAGTAAAAGAAGAGTGCCCTCCCTCTTGCTCCCCATACAACTCATGGTACTAAGAAATGGTGTGGGACTTCCCAGATGAGTTGACAAGAGAGGCCTGGCTCTGGGGTCTGTCCTGAGCTGCCCTGTGTTATTTGTAGGTGCACCCAGCCAATAGCCAGGGGCATCAATGATGAGGCCTGAGTTGACATCCGTGTTTTCAGATAAGGCTTTTACACTGAGCCTTTGTAAAGTCAAAACTCAGAAATTTCAGGGCACAATGAAAGAACATCTCACTCTCTTGAGCATCTCTCACTAACAGAGGTGGATACAGAGCTGTCTCAAGAATGTGGGTTCCTGGTTTCTTAACTGATGTTGGGTTGTCACCAAGAAAGTGTGTTAAACTCTTCAAGGTTCCATCTACTGGGTCCCTTCTTTCTGTAAGACCTACCCAAAAGCCCCACTATGCTACTAATTGTTCAGTCTCCTCTTCCATGTCAACTCTTCATTTGTACACAAGTATGCAAACACAACTTCCCCTTAATTCCTTGGAAAGAACTAAATGCAGCCTGGGTTCCAGGATATAAGAGACAGCTGGAACATAACCTTGTTTTTCTTACCATCTCTGGGACCCAATAAAAGTCACTGTGTATTTGAGGCTTCCCCAGCCTCCAAGCATACACAGTGGGGATGATGCTAACATCTACTTCCTAGGGATTGTATTAGATGTATATAAGATAAAACATAAAAATCATGTGGTGTTACCTGTAGATAATGCACACACTTAGAGATGGAAGCATTAGGAGAATATGTAGAAGGTAGCATGGGCCACAACTCAAACAAGCCTGGGTCTGGCAGGGTGATCTTGGGAATGTCACTTCTCCACTGCGCTTCATTTTCATTCTGCTCCAGTATGAAGTTGAAATTAAATGTAGATACTGTCCTCTGGCATTCATATAGTTTAGCTGTGTGTTCCACCCAAACTTCTCTGTGTATTATAACCCCCAGGTGTTAAGGGAGAAACCTGAGGGGAGATGATTGGATTATGGGGACGGGTTCTCCTCATGCTGTTCTTGTGATAGTGAGTTCTCATGAGATCTGATAGTTTCATAAGCATCTGGTACATCCCATGCTCTCACTCACTTCACTTGTCAGCCACTGTAATTGGAAGGTTTCTGAGGTGCCCTCCCAATTATGTGGAACTGTGAGTCAATTAAACTTCTTTTCTTTATCAATTACCCAGTCTCAAGTACTTCATCATTGCAGTATGACAAAGTCCTAATACAGCCATTCAACTTTCTAGTGCTTTCTCTTTATATTTAGAATCATATCCATGTGCCTTCTCACGTCTATGACAGGGAAACTCTTCACAAAATCTCACAGTACTAGGTGGTTAGTGACTCAGTTTTTTATTGAATAAAATGGCCTACAGCCTGATGACAGTAATATGGCCCTTGGGTTTTGAGGAAAATATCATGTTGTAGGTTGGCCAAAAAGGAGATAGCAGTCCAGCTGAAATTTGTTTTCTTATACTGGCTTTAAGGCAGTGATTAGAAAAGGCCTAAGAGGTGGGTTCTGTAAGGGATTGCTGGAAGGAAAGTAGGAATATGGAAAGTCATGAGACATATACTGTCATCTCTTCTTGCTTCCTCTCAAGTCACATGCAAATTCAGGGAGAGTTAGTATGAAACACACAATGGAAATTTGGGCTCTAACATATGCAATCTGATTCTTCATGGACTTCATTTGGCCATATCAGTTCCAACAATTTCAGCCAATGTTTAAAAATCTTATAAGCACATAAAATTTTAGTGTTTCAACAAGCCATTTCCTATCTTTCATTCTGAAAATCCATTTTAAGTCATTTTTTTAACAGCATAGGGGTACAAATTCAGCTTCTGTCCAATGAAATACAGAAAAGGATATCACTTTTGTATTAGTTCAGGCTGCTATGCCAAAGAACCATAGATAAGCAGCTTATAGACAACAGGACTTAATTTCTCATACTTCTATAGGTTCGAAATTTGAGATCAGGTTGTCAGCACGGTTGAGCTCTGGTGATGACTCGCTTCTGAATTTCAGACTGCAGACTTCAAGTTTTACCATCATTTTGCAGAAGGAGGAAGAGAGCCCTCTGCGGTTCCTTGTATAAAGCCAGTAATCTCTATTATGAAGGTCCCACCCTCAGGAGTTAAGTACATCTTTCATCCGTATAGCATTACAACGGGGGTTACAATTTTAACATAAATACAGGAGAAAAATTATTGGAACTCTCAAGATTTTTGTTTCCTTTTTTTTTTTTTTTGAGACAGTTTCACTCTTGTATCCCAGGCAGGAGTGCAGTGGTGTGATCTCGGCTTGCTGGAACCTTCGCCTCCCAGGTTCAAATGATTCCCCTGCGTCAGTCTCCCAAGTAGCTGGGATTACAGGCATGCACCACCACACCTTGCTCATTTTGTACTTTTAGAAGAGACGGTGGTTTCACCATATTGTCCAGGCTGCTTTCAAACCCCTGACCTCAGGTGATCCACCCGTCTCAGCATCCCAAAGTGTTGGGATTACAGGTGTGAGCCACCGCACCCTGTCAAGATTTTTCTAAAGCTCTCATTTTTCTCCTACTGGGTTTTTCCTGTTTGCGCCCTCAATCTTTCTCTGTCTCTTTTTGTGTACACCTTTTTGTCTAATTCTCTCTCTCTATTGTATACCTCAAACACAGGAAGCAAGCTTCAATGCTATGAGATGCTCCATGTAAAGACCAACATAACAGAGCCTGAGGGGGTGCTCAGACCAGTAGAGAGAAGGAAAGTCAGGCTCTCCAGCCACACTAAACCCTGCCAATTTTCACATGAGTCAGCTTAAAGGCTCATGCTTTCCCAGTCCAGCTTCAGTTAAGACCACAGTCCCAATGTCATAAAAGACCTAAAGGCAGAGGTACCCAACTGAACTGTGTCCAGATTCTGGTCCACATAAATTATGAGATATTATATGTTGTTGAAAAGTGCTGACTTTTAGGGCAATGTTGTCAGAAAGGAGCAGATATCTAACTTCATCTCCCAGGCCCTAGGATTCTCCATCCCTCTACTTATATCTTCCTCAGGCTGTCTGCAGCCAAACTTTCTAACCTCTGCCGAACTCACACCTATGAGTCTCTTCACTAAGGGTGGCTTCTCCCTGACACATACTTGTGCAGAGATGTCTCCCTGTTGTCATCCTTATCATGGATTAAACATCACCACAATGAGGCCTTAGTTCCTCCCATGCAATAATTTTCCAGCTTTTCTTCTCAACATTCCACTTTATATTATAGTCCTTCCTCTTTTCTTTCACATATACTTGCTTTAGTGCTTTTATCCAGCTGTCCTCAGAATGTTTGGTCCTGGGTTGGGGGGTGCAGGCATCATGTAATAATTTTCTGTACCACGTTGCACCCACCTGGTTAGCTGGCAAAGGGTGAGCGCAAGGGAAAAAAGACTGGCTAAGTGATTATATGGAGGATCTCTAATATCCCTTCCTCTTTTGACCACCTGATAATGTGGAGATCATTGATAACAACATGAGATGTGTGACTCTTACTTGTTCCAGCTGCTCCAGCAAAGCTCAGTGGGCACCAGAAACAGAGCTGGCTGTAACCACCTCCAGGCCATCACTAACTCTATGGCCCAATGCAGGAGCACTATGGAACAAATCAGGTATCTTGATTTTTCTGTCCTCAAGACACTGGTTCTTCAAGGTCCTAGGGGATAAAGTAGCAGAATCTGAAGGCCCCAAGTACAATGAGTGACCTTGGAATCCCCCTTTGCCTTCTATTTGCCTCTACCTTTTGGGTTGTGCTATTTATCCATGAGATATCCTCCCCTTATCCAGTGAAATTAGTTTCTACCACTTTCAAATGAGGACCTTAAGAACCCAACAGGAGCTGGGATTTTCCGTGGACTTCAGCCTCAGAGTCCAGTGCTCTGGAACATTTAGCTCCGTCTCATCTTCATCTACCCAAGATGCCTCTGAAGTGGCCATGCCTCCCTCTGATTTGAAGGACCTACAGAGAGTGGATGCATTTCTGCACAGTCTCAGAGCAAGAATCAGGGCTGGAAGACACTTATGAGTATGTGAAATCGTCGAGGTCACCCAGTTCAAACAGCCCTATTTATGAGGAAGAAAACAGGCTTTCCTGCAGGCATTCTCTACATTAGGCTGAGGTGGAGCATAGCTCATTTTACTTCCAGGTGCCCTCAGAGCTGGATGCAAAACCCCAGTCCTGTCATCTTGAAATTGACATGGAGAGGTCCCCATGTGAACAGAACCCTGGATCTGCTCATTCTCTGTGCCCCTGAATGTGAAGCTACAGGCTCTAACTTCCAAAGCAAACCTGATAGGTGGGATGGAGCCAAGGCCTAGGAAGCTGGAGCTCTCTCTAATGCTCTGGAGCCTGCCCACCTCCTGAGATCTGGATCAGTCCCTGCCTCTTTTGGGGCCTCATTTTCCCAATTGTAATGTAATGAGAAATTAAATGTAAAATTGCATAAGCATATGCTCTGTGAGAATTTGGTGTCAGAGTCCTCAATACTGGATGATATATTTTGGTGGGAGGGGTTTGGGCCCCAGAGGTTCTCGGGACTCCTGACATATCCATTGCAGTAGGTGTAGAGCTCAGGAGATCCAGATCTTCTTTCCTGAGCCAGCTGATTACAATACAATGGACCACGGGCTATGATCTTAAATATGATTTCACAGGATTCCCCACCTTCAGCCACCATCTGCTCTGTGCTTCCCTTATTTTGGGGAGCTGATGACAACCTCCATTATAGTGAGAGAGTCCAAGAAACTAGACTTGTGGACCTGGAGAAAAGAAAAAAACACTTTTCTATTTCTCTCAAACTGTAGAATCTGTTGTCAAATATTTAATTTTGATTCCATCTGAGCTTGATAATACGTTCATGTGTTAAGAGCTGCTTAAATTTATTTTTTCTGTGGTGTGGGATAATGTCTTTTCCCATATTTTAAATCAACTTCTAAAAGCTCTCTTTAAAGTGGAGATGTGAACATCTTTGTGATATAAACTGCACATATTTGTTGCGAGATTGTTCTTTTTCTCTTTGTTAAAATGTTTTGTTTTATTCTGGTTTGGATGTCCTTCAGGGTTTTGTTTTGTGGCTATTTATTACTACAATGCAACTTCTCCCCTAATTGACTGACAGGTTTGTACATTCTCAATAAAATATTTTGGTAAAGTCTTTGTAAAAACTGTGTAGACAATTTTACAGTTTTCATAAACATAAAACAGTCAAGACTGTCATGATGAAAAAGAAAGATTGAGGGCTTAAAAATTAAAATATGATACAGCTAAAGTAGTGTGCAAAGGGAAATTTATGGCACTAAATGCCCACAAGAGAAAGCAGAAAAGGTCTAAAATCGGCATCATAATATCACAATTAAAAATCTAGGGAAGCAAGAGCAAACAAATTCAAAAGCTAGCAGAAGACAAGAAATAATTAAGATCACAGCAGAACTGAAGGAGATAGACACACAAAAAGCCCGTCCAAAAAATCAACGAATCCAGGAGCTGTTTTTTTGAAAAGATCAAGAAATAAATAAACTGCTAGCCAGAGTAATAAGGAAGAAGAGAAGAATCAAATACATGCAATAGGAAATGATAAAGGGGATATAACCATTGATCCACAGAAATAAAAATTACCATTAGAGAATATTATAAAAAACTCTTTGCAAATTAACTAGAAAATCTAGACGAAATGGATAAATTCCTGGACACATATACCCTCCCAAGTCCAAACCAGTAAGAAGTCGAATGCCTGAATATGCCAATAACAAGTTCTAAAATTGAGGCAGTAACTAATAGCCTACCAACCAAAAGAAGTCCAGAACCAGAAGGATTCACAGCCGAATTCTACCAAAGGTACAAAGAGGAGCTGGTACCATTCCTTCTGAAACTATTTCAAACAATAGAAAAGAGGTACTCCTCCTTAACTCATTTTATGCATCCAGCATCATCCTGAAACCAAAACTTGGCAAAGACACACCAGAAAAAGAAAATTTCAGGCCCGTATCCCTGATGAATATCGATGCGAAAATCCTCAATAAAATACTGGCAAACCGAATCCAGCAGCACATCAAAAAGCTTATCCACCACGATCTAGTCAGCTTAATCCCTCGGATGCAAAGCTTGTTCAACATATGCAAATCAATAAATGTATTCCATCACATAAACAGAACTAATGACAAAAACCACATGATTATCTCAATAGATGCAAAAAAGGCCTTCAGCAAAATTCAACACCTCTTCATGGTAAAAACTCTCAATGAATTATGTATTGATGGAACTTATCTCAACATATTAAGAGCTATTTATGACAAACGCACAGCCAATATACTGAATGGGAAAAAACTTGAAACATTCCTTTTGAAAATCTGCACAAAACAAGAATACCCTCTCTCATCACTCCTATTCAATATAGTATTGGAAGTTCTGGCCAGGGCAATCAGTCAAGAGAAAGAAACAAAGCGTAATCAAATAGGAAGAGGAACTCAAGTTGTCTCTGTTTGCAGCTGACATGATTGTATATTTAGAAAACCCCATCGTCTCAGCCCAAAATCTCCTTAAACCAATATGCAACTTCAAAAAAGTCTCAGTATACAAAATCAGTGTTCAAAAATCACAAGAATTCCTATACACAATAATAGACAAACAGAGAGCCAAATCATGCATGAACTCTCATTCACAATTGTTACAAAGAGAATAAAATACCTAGGAATCCAACTTAAAAGGGATGGGAAGGACTTCTTCAAGGAGATCTACAAACCACTGCTCAAGGAAATAAGAGAGGACACAAACAAATGAAAAACAATCCGTGCTCATGGATAGGAAGAATCAATATTGTGAAAATGGCCATACTGCCCAAAGTAATTTATAAATTCAGTGTTATCCCCATCAAGCTCCCATTGACTTTCTTTACATAATTAGAAAAAAAAACTACTTTAAATTTCATATGGAATCAAAAAAGATCCTGCATAGACAAGACAATCCTAAGCAAAAAGAACAAAAGTGGAGGCATCACACTAGCTATCTTCAAACTATACTAAAAGGCCACAGTAACCAAGACAGTATGGTACTGGTACCAAAACAGATATATTGACAAATGGAACAGAACAGAGGCCCCAGAAATAACATCAAACATCTACAACCATCTGATCTTTGATGAACCTGACAAAAACAAGTAATGGGGAAAGGATTCCTTATTTAATAAATGGTGTTGGGAAAACTAGATAGCCATATGCAAAAAAATGAAACTGGACGTCTTCCTTACTAGTTATACAAAAATTAACTGAAGATGGATTAAAGACTTAAATGTAAGACTTAAAACCATAAAAACCCCCCAAAAAACAAAGGCATTACCATTCAGGACATAGGCGTGGGCAAAGACTTCATGACTAAAACAGCAAAAACAATGGCAACAAAAGCCAAAATTGACAAACGAGATGTAATTAAAGTAAAGAGCTTCTTCACAACAAAAGAAACTATCATCAGAGTGAACAGGCAACCCACAGAAAGGAGAAAATTTATGCAATCTATCCATCTGACAATGGGCTAATATGCAGAATCTACAAAAAACTTAAGCAAATTTACAAGAAAAAAACAAACAACCATATCAAAAATGGGCAAAGGACATGAACAGACACTTCTGAAAAGAAGACATTTATGCAGCCAACAAACATATGAAAAAAAAACTCATCATCACTGGTCATTAGATAAATGCAAATCAAAAACACAGTGAGAAACCATCTCACTCCAGTTAGAATGGTGATCATTGGAAAAATCAGGAAACAACAGATGCTGGAGAGGATGTGGAGAAATAGGAACACTTTTACACTGTTGGTGAGAGTGTAAATTAGTTCAACCATTGTGGAAGACAGTATGGCAATTCCTCAAGGATCTACAATGAGAAATACCATTTGATCCAGCAATCCCATTACTGGGTATATAACCAAATGATTATAAATTATTCTACTACTTAGACACATGCAAACATATGTTTATTATGGCACTGTGCACAAGAGCAAAAACTTTGAACCAAACCAAATGCCCATCAGTGGTAGAATGAATAAAGAAAATGTGGCATGTATACATCATGGAATACAATGCAGTCATAAAAAGGATGAGTTCATGTCCTTTGCAGGGACATGGATGAAGCTGGAAACCACCATTCTCAGCAAACTAACACAAGAGTAGAAAAGCAAACATCACATGTTCTCTCTCATAGTTGGGAGTTAAACAAAGAGAACACAGGGACACAGGAAGGGGAACACCACACACTGGAGCCTGTCAGGAAGTGGGGGACTATGGGAGGGATAGCATTAGAAGATATATTCCTGGCCTAGGCCACTATTGCGATTTTCTAAATTTTGTTTCAAAAACATGATGTTTCAAAAATTGTTATTGATATGTAATTATACAAATATATAGTTCAGAAAAAAGAATCAACATTAATTATGCTTTTTCCAAAATACTTTATGGTTTTGAGCTCTTCTAGCAGTGACATTTTTGCTGTAGGTAGTTGCTCTATATCTGGTATATTCATCATAGCATCCTTTGTACCCTTTACACTTATCCTTCAATTTCCCACTCTCCTTAAGTGTAAATTTTCAAGGCCAGAGCTCCCATATCTTCCCAATATTACTTTTTGAAAAGAAGCTCCTATGTACTGTTTTGTCTAGGTCTTGTTGGATATAATGCTAAAAGCTGGAAAATAATAATTTTTTAAAAAATTCGGTGATGAAATTAAGGTAAATATATTTTATAAATCTAATGAACAAAATGAGGCCAGCTGAGAACACAATGATAGTTGAAGAAGAACCTGAGATCCTGTTTCTCTCAATGGATGTATGAACTTAACTGCAATTGGGTGAGCAAAGCCAGTTGAGTTTGTAGCACCCCTCATGAGAAAAAAGCCAACCATAACCACATTTAGAAGAAAGAAAATTTGGTTACATTTCTGCACTACAGAACAGTGCAGTTAGATAAAATTCTGTCCATTCCATGATTCTCCCTCGGGAAAGAAAACAGAGTGAAACGTGTATGCAAACTTCTGACTTATTGATTTATACCTTTAACATTTAGTGTTGACCAGAATAGAGATAGAGTTTAAATGACAGCTTGGGTCGACTGAGAATAAAGATAAATATTTCTTACAACAAAGAGACTGTAGTGCCTGCAACAGTGACAAAGAGAAGAGACTAAAGGCTCCTAAGAGGAAAGAGAGGTAAACCTTATTAACAAGAAAATACATACAGTACAAAGAAGACACATTTTGACAACAGATTGGAGAAGCTCCCGGAATGACTAGTGTGGCTGAATATTGTCAATTTTCCCATGTACAAAGCTTTTTCATAAAGGATAAAATAGGTAGTGGTTTCTTAATTGACCAAAACCTTAACAAAACCACAGTACTTAAAAGCAACCAGGAAATATAGCCTAATGAAACGAGAAAAATATATATTCAAGTGACCCTAAAGAAGTGGAGATCTATGAATTATTTTTTAACTTAAAATCATTTTATTTTTCTTTATTTTTTCATTTTATACACAGGATCTTACTCTATCTCCTGGGACAGATGGCAGTGGTGCAATCACAGCTCACTGTAACCTCAAATTTCTGAAGTAAAGCAGTCATGCCTCCTATGTCTCCTGAGTAAATATGACCACAGTTGGGCACACTACCACACCTGTATAGTTTCTTTAAAAGAATCTGTACAAACAGAATGTTGTTATGTTGCCTCGGCTGGTCTCAAACTCCTGGTCTCAGGCAATCCTACTGCCTCAGTCTGAAAGTGCTGGCATGAGCCACCATACCTGGAATTGTTTCTCTTTTAAGAAAAAAGGACTTTAAATCATTAATAGTAAAATAAAACAAAGAAAGGCATTGCATAACGATAGAGAGTTCAATTCAACAAGAAGACTTAACTATCCTAAATATAGATGCACCCAACTTTGGGGAACATAGAGTTATACAACAAGTACTGCTAGACCTACAATAAGACTCAAGTAGCCACGCAATAATAGTAGGGAAACGCAACTCCCCAATAACAGTGTTTGTCAGATTATCTAGGCAGAAACTTAACAAAGAAATTCTGGAGTTTGATTTCGCACTTGATCAATTGAAACTAATAGACATTTATAGTATACACCACACATCATCTAAGGAACATAAATTCTTCTCATCGCTCACAGAATATACTCTAGGATTGACCACTTCCTAGCCATAAAGCAATTATCCATACATTTTTTAAAAATGAAAATTATGCCAACCATACTGTCAGGCCACAATGGAAAAAAGATAAATATCAATACCAACAAAATCTCACAAAATCACAGAATGGCATTGAAATTAAACAACTTGCTCCTGAATGAATTTTGGGTAAACAACAAAATTGAGGCAGAAACTTAAAAAAAATTTGAAATAAATGAAGAGACACAATATACTAAAATGTCTGGGTTGTAGGAAAAGCTCTGTTAAGAGGAAAGTTGAGAGTGCTAAATACCTGCATCAAGAAGTTAGAATGATCTCAAACTAACAATTTAACATCACACTTAGAGAAACTAGAAAAACAAAAACAAACTAACCCCAAAGCTGGCAGAATGGCAAAAATATTCACAACCTATAAACCTGACAAAATCTAATACTCAGAATCTATAAGAAACTTAAAGAATTCACAAGCAAAAAATTACCCCATGAAAAAGTGGGCAATAACAGACAATGTTCAAAAGAATACATACAAGTGGCCAAACAACATGAAAAAAGCTTATCACTAACCATCAAGGAAATGTAAATAAAAACCACAGTAAGACACCATCGTACACCAGTTAGAATGGCTTTTGTTAAAAAGTAAAATGATAGTAGATATTGGTGGGGTTTTAGAGGGAAAAAACCACTTATACACTGTTTATAGGAATATAAATTAGTTCAGCCACTGTGGAGAGCAGCTTGGAGATTTTCCAAATAACTGAGAGTTGAACTATGATTCAACGCAGAATTTCACCGCTGGGTGTATACCCAGAAGAGAATAAACTATTCTACCAAAACAGCACATGCACTTGTTGGTTCATCACTGCATTATTTATAACAGGAAAGACATGAATCAACCTACGTGACTATTAATGGTATTTTTTTTTTTTTGAGATGAAGTCTCACTCTGTTGCCCAGGCTGGAGTGCAGTGGCACTATCTCAGCTCACTACAACCTCCACCTCCCAGGTTCAAGCAATTCTCCTGCCTCAGCCACCCGAGTAGCTGGGACTACAGGCTCATGACAACACGTCCGGCTAACTTTTGTATTTTCAGTAGAGACGGGGGTTTCATTATGCTGTCCAGGATGGTCTCGATCTCCTGACCTCATGATCCACTCACCTTGGCCTCCCACAGTGCTGGGATTACAGGCATCAGCCACCGTGTCCAGCCTATTAATGCTAAATTGAATTTAAAAAGTGTCACATGTACAGCAATACTACTTAGCAAAAACAACAACAACAACAAAAAAACTTGTCCTTTGCAGCAACATTAATACAACTAAAGGTCATTCTACAATCAAATTAATGCAGAAATGGAAAACAAAAATACTGATGTTCTCACTTATAAATGGAAATTAACACTGGGTACACATGGACATAAAAATAAAAATAAAAGACAACTCTTAGAGGGTGGAGAGAGGGAGGGATCAAGAACTGAAAAACTGTCTATTTAGTACTATGCTCACTGCATAAGTGATGGAATTACTTATATTTCAAACCTCAGCACTATACAAAATACCCATGTAAAAAACCTGTGTAGGTACCTCCTAAATCTAAAACAAATTTGAAATTCTAAAAGGCGGTCTTACTCTCTCACCCAGACAGGAATACAATATCATGGTTATAACTCAATGCAGCGTCAAATTCCTGGGAACTCAAGGAATAATCTTACATCAGCCTCCAACTTCCGAGACTACAGGAACATTCCACCATTCATGATTAATCTGTAAAAATATTTTTTACATATAGCTTCTCACAATATTGCCCAGGGTGGTCTCAAACTCCTAGCCTTAAGTAATTGATATGGTTTGGCTCTCTGTCCCCAACCAAATCTCATCTTGAATTGTAATAATCTCCACATGTCCTGGGAGGGACCCTGTGGGAGGTAATTGAATCATGGGGGTGGGATTTTCCCATGCTGTTCTCATGATAGCAAAAAAGTCTCACGTGATCTGATGGTTTTATAAGTGGAGGTTCCCCTGAACAAAGTCTCTTGCTTGCTCCAATAATTGTGAGACCTCCCCAGCCATGTGAAACTGTGAGGCCATTAACCTTTTTCATTATGAATTATCCAGTCTTGGTTATGTCTTTATTAACAGCATGAGAATTTATTAATACAGTAATCCCCTTGCCTTAGCTTTCAAAGTAGCTGGAATTAGACACACATATCATTGTGCCTGGCTAAAACACCTAGCTTAAAGATGCTCATTCAGCTAAAGAAGAACATAGAAAGCTAAACAGAAAAAGAAAACAATTCATGAAGATAATGAGATTATCAATGAAGTGATTAAAAGTACAAAATAGAAACATAAAGTGTGGAGCTGAAAAATAAAATACCTGAATTTAGAGATTCACTAGAAGGTCCAACAACTGGTTTGATCTAGCAGGAAAAAATCCAGCAAGCTTCATAAGAAGTCTTTTGAAATTATATGGTGAGGAGGGTAAAAATAATTTTAAAAATTAAGAGAGCCTAAGGGACTTATGGGATACCATTAAGATGGCCAATATACTTCTAATGGGAATTCTAAAATAAAAAGAGAGAAAAGAGAGCAGCAAAGTTATTTCAAGAAACAAACAGTGGCTGAGAACTCTCAAAATTTGAAGGAGAAAATGGCCTAAAATTTAATGAAACTTTACCAACTAGTAGCAACACAGGGAGACCCATGACAAGACACATTTTAATCAGAGATTCAAATGTTAAAACACCGAGAATCTTGAAGTCAGCAAGAAAAAATGACTTAGCATGTACAATGTTACCCCTATAGGATGACCAGCAGATGTCTCAGCCAATAGCATGCAGGCAAGAGGTTGTAGGATGACATACTCAAAGTGCTGAAAAAAATGGCAAGTACCAACCAAGAACACTATGTCTGCCAAAGCTATCATTTCAAATGAATTAAAAAATAAAAATAAAGAATATTCAAGATCAACAAAAACTGTATTAATTTATGCACAGTAGGCCTGTATAAAAAAATGCTAGTCATTGACATTAAAAAATAAAATAATGATGAGAGCAACACAGAATTATGTAAAATATAAAGTTTTCTAACAGATAATTATGTACACAATTATAATATTCTTTGTTATTATAATGAAGATGCACAGAATACTTTTAATTCTGCTATGTAGTTGAGATAACAAAGACTTAAAAATGACTATATAACTGTGCCAATAGATTCACAATACAAAATGATGTAATTCGCGACATCAATAAAACACATAGGCAGCCATAAAGAGGCAGGGTTTTATATGCTATAGTAGTTATTTTTGGTAATATCTATAGTAACAACAAAGAAAATACCTATAGTACTTAGGATTTTGAGACTAGTCTGGGCAACATGGCAAAACCCTGTCTCTATGAAAAATAACAAAAATTAGCCAGGAGTACTGGTGCACATCTGTGGTCCCAGGTACTCAGAAGGCTGTGGTGGGAGGATTGTTTGAGTTGAGCCTGAGAGGCAGAGCTTGCAATAAGCAGAGATTGTGCCACTGCCCTCCAGCCTGGGTGACAGAGCAAAACCCTGTCAAAAAAAAAAAAAAAGGAAATACCTATAGTACACACACACAAAGACATACACACAGAGAGAGTAGTGAGAAAAGAATTAAAACATGTCACTATAAAGATCAATAATACGCTAAGAAAGAGAACAAGAGAGAAAAACAGGAAATAATAGCTACAGGACCGGCCAGGAGCGGTGGCTCACGCCTGTAATCCTAGCAATTTGGGAGGCCGAGGTGGGTGGATCAACGAGGTCAGGAGATTGAGACCATCCTGGCTAACACAGTGAAACCCTGTCTCTACTAAAAAAAATAAACAAATAAAAATAAAAATAGCCGGGCATGGTGGCGGGTGCCTGAATTCCCAGCTGCTGGGGAATCTGAGGCAGGAGTATGGCGTGAATCCGGGAGGCGGAGCTTGCAGGGAGCCAAGATTGCACCACTGCACTCCAGCCTGGGCAACAGAGCAAAACTCCGTCTCAACAGAAAAAGCTACAGGACCTAAAACAAAAAAGAAACAAAATTCAATAGAAAGTCATAGGAAATTATTCCCTTTTAGTAATGATTTTATATATATATAAATTATGTCAATCAAAAACATACTTTCACTAAATAAATTCATGAAACAAGATTCAACTCTCTGCTTCCTACAAATGACCACATTATGATCTGGAACACGCATAAGCCATACATGAAAGAATAAAAAAAATTAAATGCAAAATCAAATACTGTCATGGTAGACAAAATATATATTATATCAAAAACTTCCTCAAGAGAGAAGAAGAAAAGGACAATAAAAACAACAACAATAAAAGCAACAAAAAACAACATACATCAATAAAAGCAACAATAAAACAACATGCAACAATAAAAGCAACAGTAATGTATGTGCCTTACATCACAGTTCCCAAAATATGAAGCAACATTTTACAGAATTGAAACATGAAGTAGCCAGCACATAACAGTAGATGACTTTTTTATCATACTTTTAGTAATGTAAATTAAAAAACAAACATAAGATGAATAAGTAAACAGAGGATTTCAACAACACAATAGAACAATTAGACCTAACAGTCACATTTATATCTCTCCACTCAACAGTAGAATATGCAATACTTTTAATCACACATGCCACAATATTCCAGATAGACCACCTGTTAAGTTAAAAAACACATCTTAGCAAATTTCAGCAGATGGAATTACACAAATTATTCCTAACTATGATACAATAAAACAAGAAGTTAAAAACACTAGCATGTCAAAGAATAAGTAAAAATTAAACAACAAATTCTCAAACACACTCTTGTTCAAGAGGTTATAGACTTAATATTGTTAAAATGTCACTACTACCAAAAGTGGTCTACGGATTCAATGTTCTTTCTTTTCTTTTCTTTCTTTGTATTTTGAGACGGAGTTTTGCTCTTGTTGCCCAAGGTGGAGTGCAATGGTGTGATCTCAGTTCACTGCAGCCTCCACCTCCTGGGTTCAAGCTGTTCTCCTGCCTCAGCCTCCTGAGTAGTTGGGAATACAGGCATGTGCCACCACACCTGGCTAATTTTGTATTTTTAGTAGAGATGGGGTTTCTCCATGGCTGGTCTGGAACTCCTGACCTCAGGTGTTCCACCTTCCTCAGCCTCCCAAAGTGCTGGGATTACAGGCATGAGCCACAACCCTCAGCTGATTCAATATACTTTCTATCAAAATACCAATGAAACTTTTTGCAGAAGTTTTAAAATATTCTACAATTTTTATGGAATTTCAAGTGATCACAAACAGCCAAACAATATTGGGAAAAAAATATAAAGACAGAGGCATCATACTTTCTATTTTCTAAACATACTATGAACATATAGTAATCAAAACAGTTTGGTACTGACATAAAGACAAATGAATGATGAAACAGATGAGAGAGTCCAGACATAAGTCCTCATGGGTATAGTAAACATATTTTTAAAATGTGTTCCAAGAATCACAAAAAGGAAAGAACAGTCTCTTCAACAAACAGTATTGGGAATAATAAAAATTTACAAGGAAAAACTAACAAAGTTAGACTTTAACTTGCAACAGATAAAAACATAAACTCAAGGCTGGGTGTGGTGGCTCACACCTGTAATCCCAGCACTTTGGGTGACTGAGACAAGTGAATCACAAGGTCAGGATATCAAGACCATCCTGGCCAACATGGGGAAACAACGTCTCTACTAAAAATACAAACAAAAATTAGTTGGCGGTGGTGGCACATGCCTGCAGTTCCAGACACTCAGGCGGCTGATGCAGGAGAATCTCTGGAATCCGGGAGGCAAGAGTTTCAGTGAGCTGAGATCATGTCACTGCGCTCCAGCCTGGTGACAGAGAAAGGCTCCACCACAAATAAAGAAATAAACTCAAAATAACTAATTTTTGGTAGCTATTAAAACGGAATTTAAAATTTTATTTTTCAGATAGTTCGCTATCATCATACAGAAAGCTACTACTGTGTTAATTTTCTGCAATGTTACAGAATTTGTTTAGTAGTTCTAATAGTTTTTGGTGTAGTGTTTAGAGTTTTTCACATATAAGATTATTTTGTCCACAATCAGAGACCATTTGACATCATCCTTTCAATTAGTATGACTTTTATTTCTTCCTCTTGCCTAATTTCCTTGGCTAGGACTTCCAGTACTATGTTGAATAAGAGGGCTGAAAGTTTGGACGATTTGTCTTGTTCCAGATCTCAGAGAGAAAGCTTTCAACTTTTCCTTATTCAGTATAAAGTTAGCATTGCTTTTTCATAAATGGCCTTTATTGAGTTAAGGCACATACCTTCTATTCCTAACTTGTTGAGAGTTTTCATCATAATCAAGGCTGAATTTCATCCAATTCTTCTTCTGCATATGCAAAAGCTACAAAAATGAAAATACTTAATGTGATGGCTAATACAGGGTGTCAAATTGATTGGATTGGAGGATAGAAAGCATTGATCCTGGGTGTGTCTGTGAGGGTGTTGCCAAAGGACATTAACATTTGAGTCAGTGGGCTGGGAAAGGGAGATCCACTCTTAATTGGGTGAGCACCATCTAATGAGCTGACAGTGAATATAAAGCAGGCAGAAAAACGTGAAAAAGAGAGACTGGCCTAAGCTCCCAGACTACATCTTTCTCCTGTGCTGGACACTTGCAGCCCTCAAACATCAGACTCCAAGTTCTTCAGCTTTGGGACATGGACCACCTCTCCTTGCTCCTCAAACTTGCAGACAACCTATTGTGGGATCTCATGATCTCTCTAGGGAAGCCCAACTAATACACCTAGCAACAAACTTAACTAAAAAGGTAAAAGATCTCTACTCTGAAAACGACAAAACATGGATAAAAAATATAAAATACAAATGAATAAATAAAAAATATTGTGTTTATACACTGGAAGAATACTGTTGATATAGCTACCCAAAGTGATCTACAGACTTAATGTGATTTTTATCAAAATACCAATGACATTTTTTGACAGAAATAAAAAAATTTAAATTTATATGGATCCACAAAAAACTCTGAATAGACAAAGCAACTTTGAGCAAAATAAGCAAAGCTAAAGGCATCACTTCATCAAACTTCAAAACTTGCTATAAAGCTACAGTAACCAAAACAGCACTGTACTGGCATAAAAACAAACACATAGACTAATGTGCCCAATAAGCCCAGAAGTTAATTTATGCACCTAAAGCCAACTGATTGTCAACAAAATTACCAAGAACACACTTTAGAGAAAAACTAATCTCTTTAATAAATGGTGCAGGGCCATTTAAATATTTATATGCAGAAAAATAATACTAGACCCTTGTACCTTGCCATATATGATAATCAACTAAAACTAAAGACTTAAATGTAATGCCATCAATTATGAAACTATTAGAGAAAAACATAAAAAAATGCTTTATAACATTGGACGGTGAAAGGATTATTAAAATAAGATTTCAAAACATGGGCAACAAAATCGAGAATAAACAAACAACATTATGTCAAACTAAAATGCTTTTTCATATTAAAAAAACAACTAAAAGTTTGAAGAGACAGCTTAGGCGATGACAGAAAATGTTCTCATATACATGTGACAAAAGGCTAATATTCAGAATATATAAGAAACTTTAAAATCTCAAAATAAAATACACTTATAATCTAATTTAAAAAATGCAAAAGATCTTAATAGATGTTTGTCAAAAAGAGATACAAAAATGGCTAACTGGAACATAAAAAGATGCTCTACATTACTAATCACCAAGGAAATGCAAATCCAAACTGCAATGAAGTACCACCTCATTCCCATTAGAATGGCTATAATAAAAATAAATAAATAAATAAATCAAGAACTAATGAGGATATAAAAAAGAGTGGATGTATACCTTGTTGGTGGAATTGTAAATTAGTATGGCCATTATAGAAAATAGTATGGAGGTTTCTGAAAGAAATTAAAAATATATCTATTATATGATCCAGCAATTTTACTTCTGGGTGTATATCCAAAAGAAAGGATATTACTGTGTCAAAAAGATATTTGCATTCCCATGTTCATTACAGAACTATTTATAATAGCTTATATATGGAATCAATTCAAATGTACAGCAACAGATAAATGGATAAGGAAAATGTACTATATATACACAGCGAAATACTATTCAGCCATAAGAAAGCATAAAATTCTGTCAGTTAAAAGAGCATGGATGAACCTTGAGCATACCATGTTAAGTAAAATAAGCCACATAGAGAAACACAAATACTTTATGATCTTATTATCTCACTCATTTGAGGAACCTGAAAAAAAGGGTTGATAGAAGCAAAGAGTACAACAGGGGTTACCAGAGACTGAAGCAGGAGGATGGGAAAAGGCTGCTTCACAGGTATTGTGTTATGATTAGATAGGGGAAATAAGTTTTTGTTTTTTATTACACAGTAGAATAATAATAATTAATGAAAAGTTATCTCATATTACAAAATAGCTAAAAGAGACCAGTTTCGGTGGCATATTCTTGCAATCCATACATTTTGGGAGATTGAGGTAGGAGAATCACTTGACGTCAGAAGTTCAAGATGAGCCTGGACAACATAGTGTGACCCCGTCTGTATGAAAAATTAAAACATTAGCCAGGCATGGTGGCAGCTTCCTGTAGTCTCAGCTAATTGGGAAGCTGAGGTTAGAAGACTGTTTGAAGTTACAGTGAGCTAGGATTGCACCACTGCACACCAGTCTGGGTGTTAGAGCAAGATCCTGTCTCTAAAAAAAATTAATACATAAAGATAAAATAAAATAGCTAGAGAAGGAGCTTTTGAATATTCTCACCACAAAAATAACAAATGCATGAGGCAACAAATATAGAAGTACTGATTTTTATTGTTATACAAAACATATATATAATTGTTTCCCCAAAATATGCACAATTACATGTGTCAATTTTAAAAAATGAATGAAGACTATAATGTAAAACCTATAACTGTAAAATTCCTAGCACAATACAGAAGGGTGAAGCTTCATTACAACTGGTCGTGGCAATAATTTGGGGGACGTAGCATCAACGGATGAGACAACAAAAGCAAGGGAATACACATGGTACTGAATCAGTGTATGAAAAATATCCCAAACAGACAAAGCAGAACATGGAATAGATATATGCACATTGTAGTATTACTCACAAACATGTTACCTGGAAGCAAATGTACCCTTAAGGATGAGTAGATTCAGCAAACAAGGCACGTACAATCACTGGGATAGCATTCAGCCTTAAAAATAAGGAAATCTTGAAAAGTACTACAATAAGGACAAATCTTCAAAACATTCTGTTAAGTAAAATAAGACAGTCAAAAAGGAAAGCTGTATAATTACACTCATGTAAAACATTTAGTCAAACTCAAAGAAACCAAGTGTCGTAGTCTCAGCAGTGCACCAAGATGTAACAGTCTCTCGTAGTCTGAGATAACATCCAGAGTTCTTTGTTCTACCTCTAAGGAGATTAAGGAGCGTGAACACAAAGGTGAGGTTGGAGTGAAAGTTTAAGAAGCAAGAGAAGAAAGCTCTTTGCCAGCAGAGATAGGTGTCTGAAAGTGGTGCC
This sequence comes from Homo sapiens, assembly GCF_000001405.40. Taxonomy (NCBI): domain Eukaryota; kingdom Metazoa; phylum Chordata; class Mammalia; order Primates; family Hominidae; genus Homo; species Homo sapiens. The sequence continues at coordinate 178,565 of NW_021160023.1, forward strand.
CTCTACGAGGCTGGGTCCAGGGTTTTTATGGACTGGGAAGGGAAGGATACGTGCCTAGTTCACAGGCTGTCTTGAAAAACGTGTGGCTCAGCTTGGCCCAGGCCTTTGGCCCGGGATCAATCAGGAGCTGAAGGGATGATTGATAGATGCTGCTTAGCTTGGCCCAAGACTTATCAGAAGCTAAGGTGAAAGTTTGGCCAAGGAGCTTGGCCCGGGAGCACTCAGGGGCTGAAGTAATTATTCATAGAGGTCAGACTTACAGTCCAAATAAACGAGAGTGTCGACCGGAATGCACCAGATCCCACAGTGCCCATGCCAACAAAAAGAGAAGGAACATTTTCCTGGGAGCCCACTGACTGTACAAAGACAAAAGTGCTTCTTTTTTTTCTTTTTCTTGTCTTTCTTTTTTTTGAGATGTACTTTCTTTTTTTATTTTTTTTTATTTTTTTTTTGCAGTTTTGCTCTTGTTGCCCAGCCTGGAGTGCAATGGTGCGATCTCGGCTCACAGCAACCTCCGCCTCCTGGGTTCTAGCGATTCTCCTGCCTCAGCCTCCCAAGTAGCTGGGATTATAGGCATGCAGCACCATGCCTGGCTAGTTTTGTATTTTTAGTAAAGACAGAGTTTGTCCATCTTGGTCATGCTGGTCTCAAACTCCCGACCTCAGATGATCCGCCCACAGCTGCCTCCGACATTGTTGGAATTACAGGCATGATCCACCGTGCCTGGCCAAACAAAGGCATTTCTATGCTAGGTCGTTCTTGTTCCTTTATCTGAGTGAGCTGGAGGTTTCTACAAGTTTTTATCCAAATGGGCCAGAGGTTTTTCTATCTGTGCAGCCACGGGCATGTCCCCAAGCACAACAACATATGCTAGTTCCCTTGTTAGTGTCTGCAGCTTGATTTTTTCCAGGCTTCTTTATATGTTATGCAGGGATGAGGCACTGACCAGGGACTTTCCAGGGACTCTTCTCTTGCTATCTACCTAAGGCAAGCTAACTAACTTCTTTCATAAGTAATGAGTATTCACTTTTACTTTTGTAAGACACAAATTATCTAAAACCTACTGCAAAACAATAGAACTATACTAACCACTTCTAAACCATATACTTAAAATGTCAGAAATGACAATGGCATGTTTTTAACTACAATTAGAAATTTAAGACTAACTAAAAGGCACAGTTAGAAAATCTTTCAAACATCACCTTCAAATAACAAAGGGTTCTTCTCACACAATTATATGGATTTAAACTATATGTTGATTGTAAATTTAAGATTATTTCCCTGATGACTCACCAAGATAGAATAAAATAATCACTGGAAACCAAGAAAAGAGGGAAATTTATAGCACTAATGTCCACATCAAAAAGATAGAAAGGGCTGGGTGTGGTGGCTCATGCCTGTAGTTCCAGCACTTTGGGAGGCTGGGGTAGGCAAATCACTTAAGGCCAGATGTTCAAGACCAGTCTGGACCACACAACAAAACCCCACCTCTACAAAAAAAATTCAAAAATTAGCTGGTTTTTGTGATGCACATCTGTAATCCCAGCTACTCAGGAAGCTGAGACAGCAGAAATCACTTAAAACTGAGAAGTGGAGGTTGCAATGAGCGGAGATCATGCCACTGTACTCCAGCCTGGGTGACAGAGTGAGACTCTGCCACAAGAAGAAAAAAAAGAGAAACTAGAAGATCTAAAATTAACAGCCTAACATCTTGATTAAAAGAACTAGAAAACCAAGTGAAAACTAACCAGAAAGGTAGCAGAAAACAAGAAATAACCAAGATCAAAGTAGAGCTGAGGGAGATAGAGACACTGAAAACTCTTCCAAAAAAAAAAGTCAACAAATCCAGGAGCTGTTTTTATGAAAAAAATTAATAAACTAGATGGAACACTAGCTAGGCAAATAAATAAGAAAAGAAAGGAGAACCAAACACAATTAGAAATAATAAGGGAGATATCATCACTGATCCCATGGAAATATGAACAACAATCAGAGAACACTATAAACATATGTATGCACATAAACCAGAAAATCTAGAAGAAATAGACAATTTCCTTGCAAAATAAACCCTCCACAAGACTGAACCCTGAATAGATCAATAATGTGTTCTGAAACTGAGGCAGTAAAAACTAGCCTACCAAGCAAGCTGAATTTGAGCAGAGGTACAAAGAGGAGATGGTACCTTTTCTCCTAAAACCATCCAAAAAAAATTGAAGACAAAGAAGTTCTCTCTAACTCATTCTATCAGGCCAGCATCATCCAGATACCAAAACCTAACATAGATACTACAACAACAACAACAACAACACATCATGCCAATGTCTTTGGTAAACACTGTGCAAAAATCCTCAATAAAATACTGGCAAACCAAATCCAGCAGCACATTAAAAAGTTCATCCGCAACAATGGAGTTGGCTTTGTCCCCAGGATGCAAGGTTGATTCAACATATGCAAATCAATAAATGTGACTCATCACATAAAGAGAACTAAATACAAAAACCACATGATTATCTCAATAAATGCAGAAAAAGCATCCAATAAAATTCAGCATTCCTTCAGGTTTAAAATTCTCAATAAACTAGGAAGTGAAGAAACATACCTGAAAATAATAAGAGCCATATACAACAAACCCACAGCCAATATCATACTGAATGTGCAAAAGCTAGAAACGTTCCACCTGAAAACTGGCACAAGAAAAGAATGCCCTCTTTCACCACTACCATTCAATATAGTATCAGAAGCCTTGGCCAGGAAAATCAGGCCAGAGGAAGAAATAAAGAGTATTCTAATAGAAAGAGAGGAAGTCAAATTATCTTTGTTTGCAGATGACCTGATCCTACATCTAGAAAACCTCATTGTCTCAGGCCCAAAGCTTCTTAAGGTGATAAGCAACAGTAGCAAAATCTCAGGATATAAAATCAATGTGCAAAAGTAGCTAGCATTCCCATGCACAAACAACAGGCAAGCAGGGAGACAAATCATGAATGAACTTTCATTCACATTTGCTACAAAGAGAAAAAAATACCTAGGAATACAGCTAAGAAAGAAAGTGAAGGACCTCTTCAAGGAGAACCACAAACAACTGCTCAGAGAAATCAGAGTGGACACAAAACAGATGGAGAAATATTCCATGCTCATGGAGAGGAAGAATCAGTATCATGAATATGGGCATATGGCCCTAAGTAATTCATAGATTCAATGCTATTCCCATTGAACTACTGACATTCTTCAGAGAATTAGAAAAATAAAAACTTTTAAAGTTCATATGGAACCAAAAAAGAGCCCAAATAGCCAAGCCAACCTTAAGAAAAAAAAAAAAAGCTGGAAGTGTCACTCTACCTAACTTCAAACTATACTAGAAGAGTACAGTAACAAAAACAGCATGGTACTGGTATAGAAACAGACACATAGACAAATGAAACAAAGTAGAGAACCTAGAAATAAAGCCAAAAACCTACAACAACCTGATCTTTGACAAAGTTAACAAAAACAAGGAATTAGGGAAAGGTGTCCCTATTCAAAAAATGGTGCCAGGAGAACTGGCTAGCCATATGCAGAGAATTTAAACTGGAACCCTTCTTAACACCATGTACAAAAATTAACTCAAGATGGATTAAAGACTTAAATGTACAACCCAAAACTATAAAACCCTTAGAAGAAAAAATCTAGATAATACCATTCAGGATATAGGCATGAGAAAAGACTTTATGACAGAAAGGCAAAAAGCTATAGCAACAAAAGCAAAAATTGACTAATGGGGTCTAATTAAACTAAAGAGCTTCTGCGGAGCCAAAGAAACTATCATCAGAGCAGACAACCTAGAGAATGGGAGAAAAATTATGCAACCTATCCATCTCACAAATGTCTAATATCCAGAATCTAGGAGGAATTTAACAAAATTTACAAAAGAAAAAAAAAAGGCCCCATTAAAAAAGGGTCAAAGAACATGAACAGACATATCTCAAAAGAGGACATACATGTGCCCAACAAACATGAAAAGCTCAACATCACTGATAACTGCATAAATACAAATCAAAACCATAATGAGATACCATCTCACACAAATTATAATGGCTATTAATAAAAAGTAAAAAAAAAAAAAACAGATGCTGGCGAGGTTGTGGAGAAAAGGGAACACTTTTACACTGTTGGTGGGAGTGTAAATTATTTCAAGCATTGAGGAAGAGAGTGTGGAGATTCCTCAAAGACCTAGAAGCAGAACTACCATTTGACCCAGCAATACCATTACACCCAAAGGAATATAAATAATTCTATTTTAAAAATACATGTATACAAATGCTCATTGCAGCACTATTTACAATAGCAACATCATGTAATCAATCTACATGCCCATCAATGATACACTGGATAAAGGAAATGTGGTACACATACACCATGGAACACTATGAAGCCATAAAATATAATGAGATGATGTCCCTTGCAGGGACATGGTTGGAATTTGAAGCCATTACTCCCAGCAAACTAATGCAGGAACAGAAAACCAAACACCGCCTATTATTATTCTAACTTATTAGCAGAAGCAGATCAATGAGAACACATGGACACATCAGGAAGAACAACACACACTGGACACCTGTTTCATGGCATGGGGGAGGGGAAGGAGAGCATCAGGAAGAATAGCTGCGGATGCTGGGCTTGGTACCTGGGTGATGAGATGATCTGTGCAGTAAACCACAGTGGTACGCATTTATGTATGTAAGAGACCTGCATAGTCTGCACATGGACCCCTAAACTTAAAATAGAAGTTGAAAAATAAACTTTATCACATATGGACCCCTGAACTTAAAATAAAACTTGAAAAAAAAATGTGTTTCTAGTGGATTCTCTATGTTAGACCCAAACTGAGGATCTTGAAGCTCTCGCTGGGGGAATCGGGGATGGGGGCACACTGGGGAGCTGCTGCCAAGGCCAACCACCCTCCCTACAAGCCACCTCCCTTCCCGACCAGTATGGAAAGGAGAAGGGGTATGTGAACAGCTGTGGAGGTCAGAATCTCGGGAACTGAATCAGGCCCCAGCCCATGCCCCCCAGCCCAGCCCTCAGGATTGTTAGATGGAACAAGGCTCCATCATCACCCAGGCATGGAGGGAAGATGCCCTGGTCCTTACCAAGCAAGGCCTGGTTTCCAAAGTCCTCTCCGAAGAGGCCTCATGTTTGCCACATCTTAAAAGTCCCCTTTCTGCTGTTCTTGCACCCAGCATGTTGGACAGTCAAGTTCCCCCGCTGAGCAATCCACACATAAGGAGGGAGTCAACACCATTGCTATGTCGGATCAGCTCCAGCGTCTCCAATATCAGTTTTATCAGATCCCAGGAACCTGCCTGCTCCCAGAGGTGACAGAGAAAAATCAAGGAAGGATCTGTATGGTCACTGACCTGGATGAAACCCTTGTGCATAGCTCCTTTAAGCCAATCAGCAATGCTGACTGCCTAGTGCCTGTAGAGCTTGAGGGGACCATGCACCAGATCCATGTGCTCATGAGGCCTTATATGGATGAGTTCCTGACATGAATGGAGGAAATGTTTAAATGTGTTTTCGTCATTGCTCTCTTCTTCCCAGCCTGAACAAGTAGGCAGATCCTGTGACGGGTGAGCTGGACGGGTATGGGATGGTTTGGGGCTGCCTGACCCATGAGTCATGTTTGTTTCACCAGGGCTGCTATGTCAAGAACGTCAGCCATCTGGGGAGGGACCTGAGGAAAACTCATCCTGGACAACTAGCCTGCTTCTTACCTCTTCCACACAGAGAATGCAGTGCCTGTGCAGTCCTGGTTTGATAACATTCCAGACAGCAGCTGCTGCACCTGATATCATTCTTTGAGGAGATGAGTGGAGGAGCAGAGGGCCTCTGCACTAGCCTTGGGCAGCAGTGGGCCCTTAACCTTCCCTGCTTCCCAGCAATGGCCATCACAGTAGGGGATTTTCCCACACTGTGCCTCTATGATCAGCCTGAAAGAGTGAAGGCTGGAACACCTACCCACATGGGCCTGGAAAGAGTGAGAAGTGATTGAAAAGAGCTTTAGGACAGCTTAGATGCCCAGTGGGTGAATGCCAGACCAAGGATACCCAGAGCTACCTGCCATCAAGTTGTTGGGTTCCCAAGATGTGGGTGTGAGAGAAAGAAAGAGAGCATGTGTGTTTTGTGATGAACTGTGGCCCCAAGTATATAGTGTTTCAGTAGGGGAGAAGCTGAAGTACAAAGACTCTTCCCAAGCTAGCTTGTCTCCTCTCCTGTCACCCTATGAGCCCCTGAGATCCATAGGGATGAAGAGTATTGAAGGCTCCATTGCAAACCTGGTCTTTCTACAGTGCTACAAGGCCTATGCCAAAGAGAAAGGAAAGGTACGTCTTTGGGTGTTCCAGGCACACATCTTTCTGAAATATTTCTCCAGCCAGTTGTTGCAGACAAAAGACGACATTTCTGGGAAGATGGGGACTTATGTTCAGACGAGTACCCAAACTATCAGGTCTTCTGGTCCAAAGGCTATTTTTACTTACCTCTAGCCAAGTGCCTGGGATGGATCCTTCCTGCATCTCCCCAAGGCTCACCACTTAGCCATAGCCTCAAACCCGTGGGGAAGGAAGGTCTACCCGCCCTGCAAGAGGACAAATAACTGATTTTTGTTCATTTGACTCTGTTTTAAAATTCTCTTTAAAAGAAAAAAACAAAAAAAAGAAAAAGAAAGCGTATCTGAAACTTAAAAAAAAAAACAAGGAAAAAAGATGAAAAAAATGACATACATAGGTGAAAAACACATAGATATATGTATAAGCAACAAACACGGCTAATTCACATATAAATTAAATATCACATTGTCATAAAGTGTACCGAGTTAAAAAATTATCATTCAACTCATGATATCAAGCTTTAAAAGCAAAAATACAATTAACTGATCTGAGAAAACATACCCCCCAAGAAAAGAAACACAACAACACAGAATTGAACATAAGAAGAGAGATTAAATGCATAAAATCCTGAATACAACATAAATATACAATGAAAAATAAGCCCTTTTTTTTTTTTTTTTTTTTTTGAGACAGAGTCTCACCCTGTCGCCCAGGCTGTAGTGCAGTGGTGCCATCTCGGCTCACTGCAAGCTCCGCCCACTGGGTTCACGCCATTCTCCTGCCTCAGCCTCTCGAGTAGCTGGGAATACAGGCACCCACCACTATGCCCGGCTAATTTTTTCTATATTTAGTAGAGACGGGGTTTCACCATGGTAGCCAGGATGGTCTTGATCTCCTGACCTCGTGATCCACCCACCTTGGCCTCCCAAAGTGCTGGGATTACAGGCGTGAGCCACCATGCCGGGCTGAAAAATAACCCATTAGATATCTACAGCTTTAAACTGTGTGCAGTCATGAAAAGCAGACATTGGAAGTCATTGGCATTTAATAAATTGCAGAAAAATTATACAGTAAATACATTACAATCATTAATAATAGGCTCTAATGAGAAGAATTTAATAAATAATCATTAAAAAGACAGCAGAATTTTATCTGTTCTCAATATGTTGCTGCTCTTCTTATCAAATACTATAATAAAACTATATGACTATAATATAGCTTTCAGGAGCTAAAAAAAGCCTTATATTTTCAAATAAAAGAACAATATAAATTTTGCAAAATACAATGAGCATTACTGAAGTATAAAGTAAATATTTGGAATTAAAATATATGGTCATTTAGATACAGACTAAAAAAGAATAGAAATCTTAATGATTCCTTTCTGCCTACAGTGAGCTTAAAATTACAACCAAAAATTTTAACAAATATGTAGCACCTACAAGAAATTTTATTAACAGCTTACATAATGTATAAATTTGAGCAATTTATTTTAGAACTTTTGAATCTGAAAATCACCTGCTTGACATTCATTTGAGAAAGTGAAACATAAAGGAGAGTAACATAAGCAAGACGACAGAATGTGAGGTTCTGCATCCACATCCCCCACGACATAATGCAGCTGCCACAGCAAACATAAGTGCATTCATGAAAGCCTTGGAATCCAGTTCAGAGTTTGTGGCACCCAGCTGGAGGCAAAGACCAAGGAAGACATTTTCAGAGGGTGAGCACTTGACCAAGTGGCAAGCTTGCCAATCATGGTCCCGGCTTCAAAACAGAATACTGCCACATCTTACTGTAGACTTGGCTATAACTCATTTGACCTTGGTCCTGCCACTGCAACAATCTGTGAAAAACACAAGAGAATTCATACTCACCTGAGACTTAGGTGACAGGCCTGCAGAACTTGGTTCTCTCTATAGTCACTGAGTCAGGCAAAACACACCTTCTTTCCTTCTCCAGCCATGGTCTGGAAGAAATCTTCACATTGATATGATGAAATGCTAACTAACAATATGAAAAATACTAAAGTATAAATGTCACTAAAATGGTAAATACATACTGAATTTCAGAATACTATAAATTGTTATCATCTTAAACTAGACTATTAAAATACAAGATGTTTTACCTAAGTCTCATGATAACCACTAGGAAAAAAAAACTGCAGTAAAGAAAAAGAGAAAGTAATTAAAGCATACACAAACAACAAAAATTACACATTGGATATGGTGTCTCCTGCTTATAATTCCAACACTTTGGGAGGCCAAGGTGGAAGGATGAAATCTCCTTGGGTGTTGTGGTACGTGTCTGTAGTCCAAGCTACTTGGGTGGCTAAGGTGGGAGGATTATTTGAGCCCAGGAGGTTGAAGCTACAGTGAGCTGTGATATGCCACTGCACTTCAGTCTGAGCAAGAAAGCATAACTTTGTCTCAACAAAAATGAACAATACCACAGGAAAGACAGAACCAGAAAAAAAAGAAGCAAACTTAAAATGGACAGAAAACTACAAATTTACAATAGTAACTCCTTACCTATCACTACCTTACAAATAAAAAGATTAAAGTATCTACTAAACAGATACTGCTGTACACTGAATGTCATCTCCAAAATTTAGGATAAAATTTAATAGCCAACATGTTAGAATTAAGAGGTGGAACCTTTAAAAATTAATTAAGCTCTAAGAACTCTGCCCTCATGAATGGATTAATGTTCTTATTATGGGAATGGGCTAATTATAACAAGAATGGATCTGTTATATATTAAAAAAAAAAGCTCTCTCTCCCTCACATCTTTGTCTATGTTATTATCCAGCAACTAGACCTTCAACATATACCAGTATCATGTTGTTTTGGCTTCCCAGCCTCCAGAATCATAAGTCAAATAAAATTCTATTCTTTATTAATTACCAGTGTGTGATATTCAGTTATAGCAGCCAAAAGAGACTAAAGCAGACAGAGTGGATAAATTAATCGTTTAAACCTCGTAATATGCTGCTTACAAGAGACTCAATTATGAATTAAGAGCATAGGCTAAAAGTGAAAGGATAGAAAATGATATTCCATGCAAACAATAACCAAAGGAGTGCAACGGTAATGCTTAAATTAGACAAAATAGACTTTCTAGCAATGTCTCTCACAAGCATGAAATGAGTTTACCATAGAATAATAATAGAGGTTAATTTCTCAAGAGAATATAGCTTTATATATTTATGCACCCAAAAGGGAGGCTTCTAAATATAAAAAGCAAATATTGCCAGAACTGTAGGGAGAAGTAGAAAGAAACCAAATAATAGAAAACTTTAATGAAATGTATAATAAAGGACATATAGTTAACAGCATTGTAAATTGGCAAGGGAAAGCTGGTCTCATGTGTTGCATTTGAGAATGCAGCAAAGAAAGTGGGAACTGATAATTTTACTGCAAGCCTGAGTTAGGATGAAAAACAGGGTGGTCGATTAGAGGTTCCACTTGCCATACATTAAAAAAACACAGGAGAAAACCAGTCCTCCTCTGGAGTGTTAAAATAATTAAAGATCAGAAAATTAGTCTAAAGTGGCTCTAGTGCCCTGTGTTCATAGGTAAAAAACAAAAAACAAACAAAAAAAAATCTAAAACCTAACTCAAATATATTTCCTATAAAACACTATCTTAGCCTGAAGCAAAATGCAGGTTTAACCCATGACAAACATGCAATTAACCTCTGAATATGTAACCAGGACATTTCCATCTGGATAGTTCAAATAAGGCTACCATATAACTGGAACCAATTCTTGAATTTGGGCTGCTTTCTCATGCATCTTATGAAAGCCTTTCCTTTATGCCCCTCTGGTGGACCAGAAATCATGGCTGGGTGCTTTCCATTTCACCAATCACTCTTTGTTCAGATAAACTGGTTAACGTTTAACATAGACTCCCGTTAATTTTTAACAAGAGAGACTGGGGACCCCACGGGCCGCAGCTCCTCCCACGCAAACACCCAGTCGCGGTTTTTCCCTGATGACCCACCAGGCCTCCCTGAACAATCTGGGAAATACTCATGGCTGTGGGCGCAGAGCAGGGCGCTGCCCAGGGACAGGACCGGATGGGCCGGACGGGACGTGGGGCCCTCGCTGCTGGCCCAGCGGCCATCTTGCAGCCACAGGGGACTGAGGGCCAAGCTGCGGGAGACTCGGAGCTAACCGTGGGGAGGACGGTCCTGCCGGTTTCACAGTCTGTTCTCCCCTCTCGGGATGGCGAACCCCGTATACTCACCATTTCCCAGCTTCCAGGATGTCCTGGCACCTTGACTATGCGTCCCCAAGGACCTACAGATCACAGGGCAACAGGGGCTGTGGGAGAGTAGCCCGGGGCTCCCAAGGTGCAGGAGGCGAAAGAGGAGACGGATCCCAAGTTCCTGTGCCAGCGCCAGCGAGAGACAAAGACCCCGCCAAATGCAGGAAGCCACGCCCTCCTCTCCTGTCCTCTCCAACTGCGCGCCTGATTGGGCGGTTCCCACATCAGTGTCAATGATTGGATAAAACTCCAGGACGCACCCACCCGAGCCTGACTCCTGCCCTTACCCCCACTCCCCCTCAGACTTAGTGCACTTTTGTTAGTTTGTTTTTAAGTTCTGGAATACATGTGCAGAACGTGCAGGTTTGTTACATAGTTTTACATGTGCCATGGTGGTTTGCTGCACCTATCAACCTGCCATCTAGGTTTTAAGCCCCATATGCATTAGGTATTTGTCCTAATTTTCTCCCTCCCCTTGACCTCAACCCCTTAACAGGCCTTAGTGTGTGATCTTTGGCTCCAGGTGTCCATGTGTTCTCATTTTTCAACTCCCACATATGAGTGAGAACATATGGTGTTTGCTTTCCTGTTCCCGTGTTAGTTTGCTGAGGTTAATGGTTCCCAGCTTCATCCACGTCCCTGCAAAGGACATGAACTCATTCTTTTTATGGCTGCATATTATTTCATGGTGTATATGTGCCACATTTTCTTTTTCCAATCTATCAATGATGGGCATTAAGGTTGGTTCCAAGTCTTTGCTATTGCAAACAGTGGTGCAATAGACATATGAGTGCATGTGTCTTTATGCTAGAATGATTTATATTCCTTTGGGTATATACCCAGTAATGAGATTGCTGGATCAAATGGTATTTCTGGTTCTAGATCCTTGAGGAATCACCACACTGTCTTCCATAATGGTTGAACTAATTTACACTCCCTCCAGCAGTGTAAAAGTGTTTCTATTCCTCCACAGCCTCACCAGCATCTGTTGTTTCCTAACTTTTTAATAACTGCCATTCAACATGGTGTGAGAAGGTATCCCATTGTGGTTTTGATTTGCATTTCTCTAGTCTCCAGTGATGATGAGCTTTTCTCTTTTTTGTGTTTGTTGACCACATAAAGGTCCCCTTCTTCTTCTTCTTCTTCTTCTTCTTCTTCTTCTTCTTCTTCTTCTTCTTCTCCTTCTCCTTCTCCTTCTTCTTTTTCTATTTATTTTACTTATTATTATTATTTTTAAGATGGAGTCTTGCTCTGTCACCCAGGCTGGAGTGCAGTGGAAGTATCTCGGCTCACTGCAACATCTGCCACCCAGGTTCAAGTGATTCTCCTGCCTTAGCCTCCCCAGAAACTGGGATTACAGGTCACCCGCCAACACATCCTACTAATTTTTTGTGTTTTTAGTAGAAATGTGGTGTCGCCATGCGGCCCAGGCTGGTCTTGAACACCTGACCTCATGATCCACCTGCCTCCACGGCTGAAAGTGCTGGGATTACAGACTTGATCAACCGCGCCCAGCCAAATATCTTCTTTTGAAAAGAGTCTGTTTATATTCTGTGCCCACTTTTTGATGGTTTTTTTGTGTGTGTGTGTGAATTTGTTTAAGTTCTTTGTAGATTCTGGATATTAGACCTCTGACACATGGATAGAGTGCAAAAATTTTCTTTCACTCTGTAGGTTGCCTGGTCACTCTGGTGATAGCTTCTTTTGCTGTGCAGAAGCTCGTTAGTTTAGTTAGATCTAATTTGTCAATTTTAGCTTTTGTTGTGATTGCTTTTGGTATTTTATTCATGAAGTCTTTGCTCATGCCTATGTCCTGAATGGTATTGCCTAGGTTTTCTTCTAGGGTTTTTATGGTTTGGTGTTTTACATTTAAGACTTTAATCCATCTTAAGATAATCTTTGCATAAGGTGTAAGGAAGGGGTACAATTTCTGTTTTCTGAATGTGGCTAGCCAGTTCTTTCAGCACCATTTGGTAAGTAGGAAATCTTTCCCCATTGCTTGTTTTTGTCAGGTTTGTCAGAGATCAGATGGTTGTAGATGTGTGATGTTATTTCTGAGGCCTCTGTTCTGTTCCATTTGTCTATATATCTGTTTTGGTATCAGTACTGTGCTGTTTTGGTTACTGTAGCCTTGTAGTATAGTTTGAAGTCGGGTAGCAGGATGCCTCAAGCTTTGTTGTTTTTGCTTAGGATTGTTTTGGGTTGACAGGCAAACAGGCTCCTATATTTGGGGTCACGTGCCCAGAGTATCACAGCTAATTCAGACGTGAGCTGAGACTTGAAATGCACATGCTCTTTCCCTTACCTGGGTCTGTTGTATAATGCATCTTAGCAGCTATGTAACAGTAGGAATTAGAATATTTAGACATCTTTTTAGCAACTTTTTAACCTGCATTTTTGTAACGCGGTAAAGACCTTCATCCCATCCCTGAGCCCCTCTCTCACAACACTGCACCCCACTGCTGACCACACTGTTGTGTGACCATTAGGAATCAGGGGGGCAGCGGGGGCTGGAAATAAATAAGAAAGGATTATGTTGCCCAAATTTGCTCACCTTAGAAAGTCTCCTCAACTATTCTGTGTGAGGTGATTTTTCCAAGGTAATTGTGCCCTGACTGCGCTGGATGTCAGTGTGTCTTGTCTTTTTGAAAATCACTGGATTACTCTCATGAACGGGGTATTTCTCTTTCTATTTGAAAACGGTCAACTGTCCTCTGCAGGTGTCCTGATTTGCTAGTTTAGACACTGAAGGTAGCGGTGAGAAAATATTTGGGCCACATCAGAATACCTATTCTCAGCTGGAAGATATATAGAAATTTCTTAATAATATCTAACCATTTTCTCAATAACCATTATATTTAACATTGATAGCTTGGAGGGCAGGGAAGGACACAGATGACACAATCTTCAAAGTTTAATTTATTTATAAGGTTTTTTTTTGTTTGTTCTTTTTCAGTTTTGCTTAGTTTTTGGATACAAGGTCTTGCTCTCGTGCCCAGGCTGGAGGGCAGTGGCATAATGATAACTCATAATTTGGTTGTAACAGTTCTTTAAAATATATTTTTGCTGAGAGTGCTAGCTCACACCTGTAATCTAAACACTTTAGGTGGCCAAGGTGGGATTATCGCTTGATCCCAGGAGTTCAAGACGAGTCTGAGCAACATAAGTAGGCTCAGTCTCTAGAAAAAAATTAAAAAATTGTCTGGGTGTAGCTTTGCATGCCTGTAGTCCCAGCTACTTGAGAGGCTGATTTGAAAGCATCACTGGAGCCTAAGAATTTGAAGATGCAGTGACCCATGATTCAGCCACTGCATTGACAGAGTGAGATATGTGTGTGTGTCTGTGTGTGTGTATAAAGAATTTGTATGTGAAAAAAATTCAAGCACAGGAGAAAAGTGAAAGCCCATGGTGGGGGATGTGGAGAAAGGTCAGTGTGGCTCCAGCACCTCAGTGCGACTTGGTTTTCCATCTTGAAGAATTGCCCATCCACACTGAAACCATAGCCTAACATATGCCAGTTCTCACACTACACCTGCTGGGATACCAGTATGTAGCCTTTTGAAAAAAATAAAATCTTTCACCTAAGAGAAGGACAAGAGAAAACGAGGGTTTCACATCTAAAGCCTTCATTTTCTTTATGAATCAACAGCCACTTGTCATTTGAATTGTCCAGAGGCGACTGACAGCACTAATACACTTAATGAATCAACCAGGAAAAATGGGCCTCTCAGGTGAGGAGGAGGCACAATGGTCACAAAACCCAATCCGTTCTCAGCTTTGCATGGTGCTCGCATCTCAAGAAGTGGTGTTAGCCATGTGAACCGTGTTCACTGGACAAGGCCAGAGGAAAGAATATTTAGTACAACACAACTATGGGGCTGCAAATCAAACTGGTAGTGAGAGCATGCATGAGGCTTCAGTGGCCGAGACACTGGTGACTACCCTTCGGTGTCACTTAAACCTTTGAGGTGAAGGACATCTTTTTTCCCAACTGGCTCAGAGAAACTAATCAACATTAAAATTGAGATTTGTTTTTCTTTTCAAAATTTCTAAGACATAGGGGACTCTCTAACACTCAAAAAGACATTCAGCTATACATGCAGCTGAGGACCTGCCTGCTCTGTAGAGGGATGGCAGAGTAGCAGCCACCAGATTTAGTAGCTTTAAGATCCTCCTCTCATAGGGACAGGCCACCCCCACACAACCCCCCTAACTTCATAGGCTCTGGCTGTCAGGTGCACCTGGGGGACTGTCTTCCTCCCATCTCATTAGCTCTCGAAGACAGTCCAGCTCAATCTAAAACCTACCTTAGGATGGCGAGTTGTAGGCTCTCCTCCATTCTCCCAGCGCAGTGTGACTTCTGGAGAGTGCTTCTCCATCCTCTTACCTCAGATGATGTGAAAAGAGCCGTTTCCCGGGCAGTTAGATGTTCAGTGACATAACAGGCCCAGCATGCGCAGGGCCTGGCCCCACAGCCTGGCACCTCTCCCCTACCTGGCCTTCACGCTGGACTTTTCTCTTCTGCCACAAATATCAGGTGATGATCACCTTTGCCACACTCTCATGAGCTTGGTAAGTATCAGGGGTGTAAACGCCAACAGATTTCCTGTGACTCTACCCTCTTACCACCCACTCAAGTGACATTATAAGCATACTTTTACATTTGATCTTATTTATGCATATTTTTTTATAACATTTCTGACAACAGCCCACACAACGAAATGAGTCTGGGTTACAGAACACACGGGCGAGGCTGGGGTAGCAGGTTTCACTTACTTTATTCCAATGTGAAATGAAGATTGATGATTTAAAAACAAGACAAAGTTGTTTATCAGCTGTGGGGTGGCTACACTTGCTAGCTCATGCTCACTTCCTTTGAAACAAGGTATCTGGACAGACCATACTCATAAGTAGCTCTTCGCAAAACCCCAGACAGAAGCCCCAGTCAGACACAGCTCCCTCAGGCTCACAGGGCAGCAACCTCCTCCTCCATGTTAGGCTCTGACAGCAGGCAAGGGAAGAAGCACAGGCAGCAGGGGACAGGGAGATGTCCCGGACTGTAGGGATCCCCAAATGCCCCAGAGCTATTCTCTGTAGAAGGGCACATGCAGGTCTCACTGTGTCAGTGCAGTGACTGAATCATGGGTCACTGCAGCCTCAAACTCTTAGGCTCCAGTGATGCTTTCACCTCAGCCTCTCAAGTAGCTGTATGGCAAAAAGCCTCCTATTTTTTTACTTAAAACCTAGACTTTAAGCCAGGTTGGACCTGGGGATAGTGGCAGCAAAAGCGGCAGCCAAATGTATACACTCCAGATGTCTACACTCATGGGCACAGGCATATTCCACACTTGCTGGAGCACGAGAGGCCTGAGAGGCACCTGTTTCCCAGTTGCTAACTGATGTCCATACACCCCATTCACGTGTCTTCATTTAGGTCTCTGCATCGTGTATTCGCTCAGCCAGTGTAAACACATCTTCTGGGGGGCATCATTAATTGCAGCACCTGCCCCACTTGTTCTGGGAGAGAGTCAGGAGGAATCTGGTCAGCTCCTAATCCCCCAGGACAAAGGTGCTGCCCTCTTTTCAGCACTCACATCCAGCAATGCCATCTCTGGATGGGTTTTTCAAACACAAGCAGCATGAGGTAGCAAGAATGGTGTGACAGGCTCAGGGCCATGGGCAGCCGGTTGCTGGAGAAGCAGCACAGGGCAGGCACATCTGTGGGTGGCACCATGACAAGCCAAGGCAACCACAGACCCTAATCCCAACAGCTCCAGCCCAGATGGCATTCAAATCTTCCCAGATAGTATTGGGGTACCCGATGCCCATCACTTGCCCGCTCATTAGCACGGCCTTGTTGGTTACTCAGGGACTAAGGAGAGAGGGTGGGGGATGTAGATCCAGGGTGGGCACTGCCTCACAGCCAGAGTCCACCTGACTGCAGGCCAGCAAGCAAGCCCAAGCAGCTCAGCTCTAGTCACATCTGGCTGTACTTTATGTGTATACATTACACAAAGGTAGCAAACAGAAGTCAACAATAGCTGTTGTGACATGAAAGTCTATGCCTCATTAAGACCTTAAAATGCTGTTGTCTTAAGCTCTCTTTATTCTAATAAAATTTATACAAATAAACACATGCAAGCTGAAACTACTATAAATGAAATATTAGGATTTTTTAAACCCATAAACAGACACGAAGACAGTCACTGTTTGATTGCAGAGAAAGTGAGCTTCTAAAGCAGCTGACCACAAAACAGCCTCACCAAACCCCAGGCAGGCCAGGCAGTCTGAACACTAGAAGGCCACGTGATGGTCACAGAGGATGACAGCCCCCATGAGTATTGCAAGGCACTGTGTTAGCTTCTCACTCACAGTCTCAGAAAACCCTGTGAGGGGAGGCCCCGTCTCACTAGAGCACAGGAGGTTCCTGAGCTTTTCCCAGAAAATGGTCATCAAACGATGGAGCAGGGGGAAGCCCAGACAGAACAAGTGAGTCCCTAGGGTCTCCTTAACCTCCCTCAGCTCCTCCACATGGGTCCCTGAGGGAAAGTGAGCAGCCTCCTAACCCCCTTGATAGGGTTCCAGTCCTGCAGGTCGGACTCTCTTATTTTATGCTACCATAGCGGGTGACAATGCAACCCCAGGCCCCTTATTTGCCATCCCTCAATGCCAGGCCAGGTCCAGAGTCCTTTGCTAACACAGCCCAGGGGATGCTCAAGGCCCACCTCGGCACAGTCACCTGTAGTGTACTGAGATGAGCAAGGAGGTGCAAGTAGACACAAATCCCCATGGGCTTGGCCTCAGGCATGTTCCACAGGCTCAGGGCCTCGCAGATGAGCTCACAGCCCTCCTTCAGGAAGCCTGCAGATCACACCCTCAGGGAGCAGTGCTCAGATGAGCAGGCAGGCCCCACATCCCCCACCCCATGAAGCTCTGTTCCACTTTGCAGGCTTCTGCATTGGCCAGTCCCCACTGCTTTCTGGTGAGATGTCCGAGTTGAAGTGAATGTTGAAGGCCACACAGCTGATGGAGCTCACTGCCTTGCACATGTTGTAAATCACCTCCTGGCTTCAAGGGTCAGCTGTGGAGACACAGCTTGATGGGAGGTAGGCCCACTCCACCATCAGTGGTGCTGGGTTGCCCTGATCTGCACCTTCCAGATACTTGCTAAGATATCTGCATGCTTCTCTAAGGGACTGGGTCACGAGACACCCCTGACAAGGACCAGCTGGCAGAACAGGCTGGACACTCTCCCTCAGCCTCCCCAGCAGCCCCACCTGTGCTGTCATCTGTGCTGATGATCTCCGTGGTAAGATTATGGGAAACTTTTACAGCAAGTTTTCCTTTCTCACTTCCCTATCTTAATAACAGCACTGATAACTTTTAAGCCCTAGCAAGCTGAAACTGCAAGACACATGATCTTCTGCCTTAGAAGGGCCATGTTTGGGCAGTGGGTGCCCAGGTGAGAGCCCCATGGTTGTTAGTGGCAGCCGGGAGCTGGATGGGCCTGCCCCATAGCCTAGTGAAAAGTGGGACCCTCTCCTTCCAGAGCATGGAAGTCTCAGAGGCTGGAAAAAGGTGCCTAAGTGGCCTGCCAAAAAGCATAAGGCTAGAAGGCCTGGAAAGAGCCCCAATAGCCTTCAAGCTGCCTGAGAGGGCTGGTCTCATTCCAGCTTTCTTTGCTTTCATCCTGTTAGGAAGAAAACCTGCTCACAGATGGCAGGCGGGCCTGAGGCTGCCATTCCCTCATCAGGGGCTATAGGCACCTTTAATGTGGCTCTTTCTTGAAGCAGCTGCTCAGGCCGGTTCTCGAAGAGCAGTTCCCTTATTATCCACAGGTCCTTCTTCCAGCCCCGTGTCTGCAGAGGGACTAGGGAGGGAGACAAGGGCTCAGCCTGTGCCCCACAACCTGCTTTGAGACATCTCTTTTTTTACTTCCTCACAGACAGCCTGAAACTTCCAAATGAACAGACCAGAATGGAGCCTCCAGGAAAGTGTACAGAATTCTGTCTAGTACCCAGAAGGAAGGGGGTTCCCAGTGAAGGCAGGGCCAGGCTGCATGCACCTCTTCAAAAATATTCTCCTCATAGTCCACCCTCAAGGTGTACATCCTCTGTGTGCTTGCAGTCCATGGCAGCCTCTGCCTTGGGAACCATCCAGCTGCACACCTGCAATATGGTGGTGACCCTCTTGAATGGATGGTTCTGGGCCCCATTGCAGGCAGCAGATAGGGAGATGCTCAGCCCATCAAGCCCAGAGCCCTGCCACAGGCTTCTTTGAGGCCTCCACCTGCTCTGGGTTCTTGCCCTGAGAGGCTGCCCTGAAGTCAAACAGAAGCAGGTGGGACTCTCTTCCACAGCTGCTCTCTCTCCCACTGACAGCTCCCTAGAGGGTAACTCAGACAGAGAAGATAGAATTCTCAGGCAGAAGGACAGGAGTTTCGGCTGCCGATTCATTCCATACCCCCACATGACATGACACAAGGCAGGGGCTGTGGGACAAAGTCATTGCCTTTCCTTCTGGCATGAGGAATGCCTTAGGAAGCAGGTCTGGTGGGGCTAGGGTTGAGCGATAGGCTTCAGGCCACAAGGAGTGGACAGACACTGAGCAAGTATCCTGGTTATCTGTCCACAGATCCAGAACAAGTGGCATCCCAGGAGCCTGGGAGGGGCTGGCAGAGACTTACTGTGTCCAGCAAAAGCCCCATGTGGATGCGGTAATGCTGCCTGCTGGTCCTTGGCTGTAATTACAAACAGGTACATGAGGTCCCCATGGATCTTGCAGCTCTCAGGGAGTGGGTTCCAGCTGCTCATGGTAGGCACTTTTAGTCACTGAACGTGCTTCAGGAATGGCCAAGCTTGATTAAGCCAGGCGTCTTGCTGTGAGACCCTCCACCCAACTGAGGACCCTCTTCCTTGTCCCCCCTGACAGTTTACCTTCCAGTTCTGGTTCTGGAGACACGATGGCCCTTCTTGGGCCCCTGGGAGAATGTGCTCAGATGACACACAGTCGACAGGACCCATTTCCAAGCCATTCTTCCATTTCCCACTGTTTGAGGGGCCGAGGCCGGTGATCAGCACAGGGCCACCCAGGGCCAGCTGTCTGCACCTAAACGTCATGTTGGTCTGGATGTCTCAGGGCCAGAACTCTCCAGGTAAGATGGCCTGGTCCTCAGCACCTGGCCTCCATGCTCCTTTTTCCTCTGTTCAATCCTGGCCCCAATGCCTCCCGCAACTCTCAGGTCACCATTGGAGAAGATGCTCAGGAAGAACAAGGAGCTGCAGTCAACCCTGCTGAAGGTGGCATATGGGTCCAGGCTCTTGAGCTGGTCTTTGACATGGTACATGTGGATGCAGGCTTTGAGCAGTGTGAGTAGCTCTTTCCGGAAGGAGGGGAAAACGGTGTTACCAGGGTCCTACACCCTAGAACGACCCATCTAGCACAGAAAACAGTTTGCAACGTGCTATCATGTGTGATTTTAATTTTGGGCTTTAGGCTTTCATTTCCAAATTCCACAATAAACACATAAGGTGGAGTTCTGATTTCAACACACACACACACACACACACAAGCACACACACACATTCTCTCTCTCTCCCTCTCTCTTAGAATCTTCCAGTGCATTCACACTGAAAGCCGAAGTCCTCCCAGAATCTTGTGAGAACCTAAATGATCTGAATAGTTTGTCATTGCTTTTGGGGATCTGGGAAAATCTCTGCACATTTCTGGAGACCGCTGTTATGCCATTTTTAATAAATCTGTTCTGCTTCAATTCAGAAGTGTGTGAGGGGAGTTGTGGAGGAATTGGCATTTGGGTTAGAAATTATAGGAACAACAGAGACAGATGACACCTGTTTTCTGCTTCATAATGTCAAGTTTTATGAAAGCTAAAACCTAATTCTACAAAAAAATTAGACTGAAAAACTTTATAGGCAAAAATTATCTTATTAAATAGGAAAATCTAATTATTTTATTTTAAAATTTTCTTTTCCTTAGTAGGACCTAATCATAGAAATTTAAACACTGTATGCCAACAGCCTCTACTGTAGGATGGTTTATTGTAAGTACTCATTTTACAGATTTCTTACAAAAACTTTTTCCGTAAGGGAAATTAGAATATTGTTCAACATATATTGAATTCACAATTATTACCTTATTTCTCACTTATTATTTTATGATTCTGTTTTCTTTAATATGAAGATTACTATGACTGTGTTTTCACTTTCTGAATTATCATGTGTCACATTTTTCTGTAATTTCAGTTTGAGAAGTTGTAAAACAGCATGCCCAAATGTATATGTTATGTATCAATTATATAATTAATTATTAAAATATTTGGCTTGTATGTTTAATTGACTCTAGGCACAATGTTACTATTAGCATTTTC
Source organism: Homo sapiens (assembly GCF_000001405.40). Lineage (NCBI taxonomy): Eukaryota > Metazoa > Chordata > Mammalia > Primates > Hominidae > Homo > Homo sapiens. The sequence goes on from NW_021160023.1 coordinate 199,588, forward strand.
TTCCAGTTTTCCCAACTTTTATTTGACTAATAGTACAATTTATTTCCAGTTTTTATTTTATCTGTCAATGTTTTATACTGTATTTACAATATTTATATTGTCACCATATGTAAAAATGTAAGACCTTTCTATTAAAGGCTAGATTACAGCCTTACCCTTTTGTGTAAGGAAAGCAGCAATGCATCAGTAGCATAATTTAAAACTTTCTCTAGTATTACTTAAATTTTTATTTCTTAAAACTTTCTCATCACATCTCTTTCTAATAATTATAATATGGTTTCTTTGAAATGTTGTTGCCCTAATTGTATCCAAATAATTCAAAATTTATACTTTTTACGGATTCAAAGGAAGAGTTGAAAATTGTAGTTACCTAGGATTCTTTTTCAGTTGGACACTATGTTTATTCAGGATTTTATAGATCAAAGTTTCTCTTAATTATGTTTTAGAATTTATGTTTCTGTATTTTTTAGAGTAGGCTGTCTCACAGCAGTTAATTGTGTTTTTACTTTCTACCTATTTATTATGATTTTGAATTACATTATTCAAGTAAGAATTCGGGGAAGGTTTCTTTTAAGTTTGTTTTGCAATTTTGCATTTCTGTGTTTCATGTTTTAGGGTAGGGCACCTTACATCAGTTTATTGTTTTTAGTTTGAATTTATATAATATAATTTTCTATGACAATATTCAAATCTGTACACTTCAAGACAGTGTGAGGCAAAAAATATGAACCATCCCTATGGTCTTTTGTTAATATAATGATTTAATTGTTTGTTTGCTTGTATAAATATTGCCCCTATTTTGTTTATGACTTGTGCATTTTCTTCTTGTTTGATGGCCAATAATTGATTCTGTCTAAGTGAGTAATCATGGAAATTGTCTTAATTTCAACATCTATTGTTTATATTATCCTAGTGTGAAAGAAAGACTTATGCGATTTGAAGATAATTTTTCAAAAACTTTGTAACTCTCTCTCTTCGGGTGTCTTTACTTATTTATTTATTTTTTGACAGACTCTCACCCTGTCGCCAAAGTGCAGTGGCACAATCTTGGCTCACTGCAACCTCCACCTCCCAGGTTAAAGCAATTCTCCAGCTGCTGCCTCTTGAGTAGCTGGCATTAAAAGTGTGCACCACCACGCCTGGTTAATTTTTGTGTTTTTCATAGAGCTGGGGTTTCACCATGTTGGCCAGGCTGGTCTTGAACTCATGGCCTCAAGTAATCTGCATGCCTCAGCCTCCCAGAGTGCTGAGATTACAGGCATGAGCCATCTCTCTTGGCCATTGGGTGTCATTTTTAATTTCGATTGTGGTAAAAATACATAACATAAAATTTAGAATCTTTAACATTTTTTCTTATACAGTTCAGTCATGTTAATGTATTTACATTGCTTTGCAACATATTTGAAAACTTTTTTCTTTTGCAAAACTGAAACTCAGTACACATGAAATGACAACTACCTATTTTCCTTACCACCTGGCTCATGATAAAAATCATTCTATTTTCTGGTTCTAAGTTTCAATACTTTAGATATTACATATAAGTAGAATCATAGAGTATCTGTTTTATTGTGACTAATTTTACTTAGCATCATGTTCTCAAGATTTCTCTTTATTGTGGATGCTACAAGATTTTCTGCCTTTAAAAGCTGAGTAATATTCCATTACTTTTGTATTACAAATTATATTTATTTATTCATTCTATGAGGAAAGTTTGTGTTGCTTTCACCTATTGGCCTTTCTGAATAATGCTGCAACGAATATGGGTATGCAAATAACTATTTGCTCATATGTGCGAGGTTTACGTCTGTGCTACCTTCTGTTTTATTGGAAAAATTGTCTGTCTTTATGCTAGAAACAAACTGTTTTCATTGCTGTTGCTTTGTAATGTGCTTTGAAATCAGAAAAGTTGAGGCCGCTAACATTGTTTTTTTTTAAAACATTTTTGGGCTCTTTATGGTCGCTTGACATTCCACATAATTTGTTGGTTCCTTTTTCTATTTCAAAAAAATTGCTAATTTAAAAGGGATTGCATTGAATCTGTAACTCGCTTTAGGCATCATGAGCATTCTTCATAATATCAAGTCTTACAACCCTTAAACATGAGCATGCTCAAAAGTGAGTTGTTTAATTTCCATATATATGTTGCTATTTTTGTTTTCTTCTGTTATTCATTTCTAGTTTTATTCCATTTTGATCAGAAATAATAGTCACTGAAAGGCTAAACCACTCTGGGAAGTGACCCCCATTATAGAACATTACAAAGATATGTGAGGGCACCACTTCTGCCCTGATGGGCTAGAGGGATGTGTTCTCTGAGATGACACATTGCACACAAATGCAGGGAACAGTATAACCCCCTTTTCATGTAAACTCTTCCCTATTTTTCTAGAGTATTAATGATAGTGGTGGCTTTGATGTCTTGGGGAAGGTCTGGCAGTGCCGTGAAGCTGCCTGCTACAGGTGATACCAGGGGGAATAATTAAAACCATACCAACTGTAGTAACATGAATAAATACAGCCTAGTGTAAAGTAAAAACAACACAAAGGTCTTCTCTGATATTTCTACAAGAATGTAAAAAGGGACTTTACACTTAACCAAGTTGCCTTTGGGACTAGTTAAGGCTAGATTTTTGGGAGGCAGATCTTTGGGTCACTCATGGAAATCCCCTAAGAGAAAGCGCAGAGAAATTCCATATTTGGGTCTGGATCCTGGGCCCATCCTGGTTTTGTCAGACCCCTGTCTGTAGAGATCCCCATGTGCCTGCTCTCACCATAACTCACTGTATGCCATGCTTGGGGGTGTGGTGAACCTGCCAGTAGTCCAAGGAGTTGGGGGACTTGAACCCATCAAATACCTGCTCAATGATTTTAATGAAACTCTACAAAGAGTGTTCCCAGCAGCGAAGCAGAAAAAACAAAAAGAAAAAAGAAAAAAAATTAATTATCTCCTTTGTTTTTACCACCAGGTAACATCTCCATTAGAAATTCTGTTTCCTAGATCAGGAACATAGGAGTATCTGCATAGACCCCCAGCCAATGAGGAAACCCGAGGACAGCTTAAGGCCTTGGGATTCACATCTGAGTAGACACACTTGGTCCACAATGCTCAACTTTTTATTCCACCAGCCATGACCTGGGTACGAACATGACATACCCGCCAGGGTTCCAATGCCTTACAACCTGCCCCTGTGAGAAAGAGCCCCCTCCTTTCCTGCTCCCCCTGCAACACATGATAATGGTAGGCAGGGTCGGGTTGCCCAGATTAGATGAGACGGTTGGCCTGGCATGGACGGACCTGACCTGGGCTTCACTGTGTTACCTGTGTTTGCCTCTTGTCGAATGGCCAGTGGTATCAAGGATGTGGGCTGATCCAATATGTATATTGCCAGAAAAGGCTCTCACTTTGAGCCTTTCTCAGGCAACAGATTAGGAATATAGCACACAATGAGAACACAGTGATCTCTCAAGCATCTCCCATGAAATTAGCTAGATACAGGGCTGTCTCTAGAATGTGGGTGTCTGGTTCCCAAAGTTCTAAATTCTGTTAGGTTCTGTCACAAGGGAAGTCTGTTAACTTCTTCAAGGTTTTATCCCCTGAGCACTTTTCCTCCATAAATCTATGCGAAGGCCCTGCTGGGCTGCTGATTGCTCACCCTAATCTCCCATGTCAACTCTTTTCCTGTAAACAGTTATGCAAACACAATTATGCCCCTTACTCCCCAAAAAGATCTAAATACAGCCAGGGCCCCAGGTTTGAGAGAACAGAGTTGGGTTAAAATCTTCTTTTCCTTTTCATTTCTGTGACCATATGAAAATGACTGTGTGCTTCAGGTCTCCCCAGCCCTGAAGTATGCATAATGGGATTATGCTAACATCAACTTCCAAAAACAGTCTTTGGTGATATATGAGATAGAATGAATCAAAATCGGTTGGATGCAGTGGCTCTTGCCTGTAATCTTAGCAGATTGGTAGACCAAGACGACGGGTGGAACACTTAAGGCCAGGGGTTTGAAACCAGCCATGGCCAGCATGGCAAAAACCCTTCTCTACTAAAAATCCAAAAATTAGCCAGGTGTGTTGATGCATGCCTGTAATCCCAGCCACTCAGGAGGCTGAGGTGTAAGAATCACTTGAGCCCAGGAAGCAGAAATTACATTAAGCCATGATCGTGCCTCTGCACTCCAGCCTGGGTGACAGAGCGAGACTGTGTCTCAAAAAAATATATATACTATGTATATATATATATATATATATATAAAATATATTTATATATTATATATAATATATAAACTTATACATATACACCTTTATGTATAAAAGATACATATTTCATATATCTGTATACATAAAAGATATATATTTTATATATATGGCCTTATTTTTCCATTCTACAGCAGAAGAGGTTGAAATCAAAAGAAAATCAGATACTGTCTTCTGGCATTAAATATTCCAGTGCTGTGCATTATATTTGGAATCACATGTATATGCCTCATCTCAGCCTATGTGGTGGGCGCCCCCAACAAAGTCTCACAACAACACTAAGTTGTGAGTGACTCTGTTATTTAAAAACGCAGCTCACCGCTCAGTGCCTCAGAAGCCGATACTATAACACCGGGTTTCCAACAGAGACGTTGGATTCCAGCTGAAGCCTCTTTCCCTGTGCTTACTTAAAGGTAGTAATATTCTCAGAAAGGTTTAGGAGGTGGCTTCTTGTTTAGCAGGGAATTGCTGAAAGGAAAAATGTATGGAAAGTCACTGGGCATGAACAGCCATCTTTTCTTGCTACACACAGGTCATGTGCAAATTTGGGGACAGTTAGTACAAAACATGTGATGGAAATTTGGGCTCTTACATCAGTGAGCTTATTTCACACAGACTCCAGTTGACCATATTGGTTCCGACCAATTTTAGCCACTTTTTAGAAGTCTCATAAGTGGAATAAATTTCAGTCTTTCGACAAGTTCTATCTTTTCTTATCCGTCATTCTGCAAACTGAAGAATTTCTGCTAGTCATTGGTTGAACTCTTTGGGGACCTGTTTCTAGTTTCTGTCAAAGAGAATACAACAAATGTGATAGGTTATCACTTCTGACTTAGTTCAGACTTCTATACCAAAAAACATAGACTACGCAACTTATAAACAAAAGAATTTAGTTCTGGAGGCTAGAAATTTGAGATAGGCTTCCAGCATGGTTGGGGTCTGGTAAGGACTCTCTTCTGAGTTTCAAACTCCAGACTTCAGGTTGTATTCTCATTTAGCAGAGAGAGGGAGAGACAGCCTTCTGCAGTTTCTTTTACAAAGCCAGTAATCTCTATCACGAGGGCCTCATGCTTAGGACTTAATTACCTCTGACCTGCTAAGGCCATTACACTGGGGATTAATGTTCTGGAATGTGAATATGGTGGGGAATCACATAGTCTACTGCAACTTCCAAAGTTATATTTCTAAAACAGCTATTATTTTCCTCCCACTTGCTCTGTCCTGTGTTTCATCTCTCAATCTCTCTGTCTCCCTTTCTCTTTTTCTGTGCATATGTCTGTCTATCTCTTTCATTTTCCATCTCTCTATTGTATTCTTCAAGATGAGGAAGCGATCTCCAGTGTCCTAAGATGCTCTAGGCACAGACCCACATGATAGAGAACTGAGGAACTGCCCAGGCCAATCAAAAGGAAGAAACTGGGGTTCTCAGTTCACACTGAATCTTGCCAATTTCCATGAGGCAGATTGGAGGCTGATCTCTCCCCAAATCCAGCTTCAGTTGAAATCACAGCCCCAGCCTCATAGGGGACCTTGAGGCAGAGGCACCCAACTAAGCTATATCGAGATTCTGGTTCACGAAAATGTGAGATAGTATTTGTTGTCAAAATGTGGTAAAATTCAGAGCAATGTTGTCAGAGACGGGCAAATGACTAACCTCCTCTTTCAGGCCCCAGGATACACCCTCCCCTCTGTTCCTTTCTTTCTCAGGCTGCCTGCAGCCACACTTGTCCCTTTATAACCTCCTCTGCTAAACTGACATTTGCTTCTGAGTCTTTTCACAAAGAGTGGCTTTTCCCTGACACACTTTCCACAACTGCGCAGTTGTCATTCTGGTCACAACATAATGTCAGCTCAGTGAGGTATTCATGTCCCCTCCAGGCAACCTCTCCCCAGCCCTCCCTCCCAACATTCTACTTTATTTCCATTATAAAATGCTCTTTTCTTTCACATGTACTTGCTTTAGTGTTTTTGTCCTGCTGTCCTCAGACTGTGGGCTCCCGCCGGGAGGCAGGGATAACATAATCATTTTTGGTACCACATGGTGAACCTACCAAGGTAGCTGCCACAGGGTGAGTGCTAGGGGAAGAGCCGCTGAGTAAAATAACATGGAAAATCACAAAGTCCTTCCTGCTTTCGGTCACCCAATAATGTGGAGATCAAGAATGATAACAGGAGGTGCAGGACCTCAGCCTGTCTCTCCCCCGGCTCCAGCTACTCCAGTAAAGTCCAGCTGGCATAAGAAACACGGGGTCTGCCGCCACCTAGAGATCTCCACTAGCACTGAAGTCCCAGGTGGAAGCATCACAAAACAGGTACCTGCATTGGGGAATTCTCAAGGCAGTGGCTATTCAGGGACCCCTGGGAAAAGGAGCAGTATCTGAAGGCTCCAAGGGCCATAAAAGTGACCTCGGAAGCCTCCCTTGATTCCTATTTTCCTCAGCCTCTTTGGGTGTGCTGTGCACTCATTAAACATTTTAACAGCATTCGGCGACATTATTTTCTTCCACTTCCGAATGAGGACCTCAAGGACAACCCAAAAAACTAGTATTTTTTCTGGGCCCCACACTCCAGAGCCCAGTGCATTGTCACATTCTGCTTTATTCCAAGTCCTCATCCGCCCAAGTCTCTAGGCCTCTCTCTTCTCTGAAGGACCTCTAGAAACTGAAAAGCCTCTTCCCAGAGTCTCAAAGCACAGTGATTTACCAATGAAGAGCCAAGGGCAGCAGACACCTATGAGTATCTAGAATCCTTGGTATTATTCCTTCTGAGTACCCCTATTTATGAGGGAGAAAACAAAGGCTTTCTTTGTGGTAGCCTCTCTTTATATCACACGGGGTAGTGGGTGGAGGGCATAGCTCATTTTAGTTCCAGGTGCCCACAGAAGTGGGAGTCACAACCCCAGTCCTGTCCTTTTGAAACAGCTGGGAAGGTCCCCAGGCTTGGAAGAACCCAGGGAACCTGGAGGATCCTTCATCCCATGCTGTCAGCTCCTGGTCATGTAGCTGGGGGAGTGGATGCCTCTGCCTCATGGCAAAGCTGCATCTACTGTTTCTTCCCCTTTTGTCACTTCTTTGGTTTCCTCTTCCATAGCCTCACTTTAGAATCTCCACTTTAGATCTCCACTTTAGAAGCCTGTGTGTGTGTGTGTGTGTGTGACGTGTTTGTGTGTGCATGCCTGCACGCCTACGTGACAACATTGAAGAGTAGAAAGCCCAGGTAGAAAGTAGAGCACAGGGTTTTCCAGGACTCATGGGCTCTCATTTCCAAAGCAAACCTGATGGGTGGGGTGCATGCAAGGCCTAGGAAGCTGGATCCCTCCCTAATACTCTGTGCTCTGCCCAATTTCTGGGATCTGAACCAGTCTTTGCCTTTTTTGGGGGTCTCAGTCTTCCTGTTGTAAAATGAAGAGTTGGCTACAAAACTGTATGAGCACATGCTCAGTGAAGACATTTTGTCATGCTCAATACCACAGAGAATATTGGGATGGGGAAAGTTTGAGCAGACTTAGGTGTCCATGCGTGCTCAGGCCTCTGAACAGGGCCAGTGCAGGCAAACATAAAGCACGGCACAGCCAGGTTTTCTTTCCAGGGCTACAGGATGAAACAGTGCACCACAGGATCTGCTCTTGAGGTCGGTCCCGCAAGATTTTCCCACCTTCAACCAGCAACTGTTTGATGAATTTCATGTCCTGTGAAGCCCATATCCACCCCCATTACAGTGAGGGGCACAGGGCACTAGACCTGTAAAATAATGTCTTTTGCCTTTTTTTCTTTTCTTTTCTTTTTCTTTTTTTTTTTAACTGAGTGGATGTTTCTTCTTTCTCCTTTTCTGTTTTGTTTGTTTTTTTAACTAATTTTTAAGAGGTCTTTACAGGTCAGTTGTGGTGCCTCGCACCTGTAATTTCAACACTTTGGGAGGATGAGGCAGGTGGATTATTTGAGGTCAGGAGTTCAAAACCAGCCTGGCGAACCTGGTGAAAATCCGTCTCTACTAAACTTACAAAAAAATTAGCGGGGAATGGTGGCTCAAGCCTGTAGCCCCAGCTACTCAGGAGGCTGAGACAGAAGAATTGCTGAAACTTGGGAGGCGGAGGTTGCAGTGAGCCGAGATTGCACGACTGCACTCCAGACTGGGTGACAGAGTGAGTCTCTGTAAAAAAAAAAAAAAAAAGAGAGAGAGAGAGAGGGAGAGAGAGAGTGCTCTTCATGGAAACATGAGCCCCTTTGTAATTTCATGTGTTGAAAATATTTATTCCAATTTTGCAATTTCTTTTCTTATTGTGGTGTTCTCTTTAAGTTTGGTTTAGATGTTATTAGTGTTTCTCCCCAAATTGATTTATTGATTTCCATTTTCACAATACAATATTTTGGCAGAAATCTTGTGGAAACTGTCTAATCAGTTTAAAATTTAAATACATATTAAAAAATCAAAGAACTGTAAAAACTGTCCTGAAGAATGACAAAGTTTGTGAGCTTCCAATGCCATATATTCAGACTTAGATTAAAGCTATAGTAATAAAAGCTATCTATGGTAGTAATGCAAAAATAGGCACAAAGAAAACTAGAAAAACTCGAGAGTCCAACTCAGACTCACACATTTAGACATTTTGTATATTACAAAACAGGCACAGAAGAGCAGTGGAGAGAAGACAGCATCTCGGTAATTAGCCTTGGGTCATCTGGTTATTTATGTGAGAAAGAAATAAACCTATCTTATATTGTTAACAAATTTCGAGACAAGTGGATTTTAAATTTTAAGGTGAAAATTGAAAACAATATTTCTAGTAGATAACATAGATAAGTATGTCCATGACTTTGGCACAGGCCAAGATTTCTTGGGACACAAAATGCATAAATTATCAAGACAAAAATATGACAAATTGGACTTTATTAGAATTAAAACCTTCTCTTCATAAAAAAAAAAAGCTTCAGGAGAGCTGAAAGGCAAGAACAAAGTGGAAATCAACATTTGTCATATATTGATCTGGCAAAAGCTTTTTATCTAGATTATTAAGCTAAATCCCATCACTTAATAAACAAAGATGCATACATTGAACAAAATTGGCAAAGATATGACTAGGAGTTCCACATACAGAACCGAAGGGCCAACAAGTAGATGAACATATCCACATTCTTATGCATCAGAACAATGCATATGAAAACTACAATTGAATACCACTATGCAATCATTAACATTTTTGAAAACTGACAAAATTAAGTACTAGTGATGATGTCAAGCAACTGGAACTTTCTTATACCATTCTGTGTGCAAACTGTTATAACCACATTCAAAACCACTTGAGTAGTAACTCCTTACATACACGATGTACATAAGCACACTCTAGAACCCAGCAACTCTGCTACTAGGTATATACACCCAATAGAATTGCCAGCATATTTTCCAATGTAGTAAAGTGCTCGAAGTAGCATTATTTGGTACTTTTCCAAACTGAAAAATACTCAAATGTGCATCAATAATAAAATAACTAAATAAAACAGCTACATATTCCTTTATAAGGGGACATTATACAGATATAAAATTAATTGGAGACATATTAAAATATACAAAAATCTAACAAATACAATTTAATTAGATTTAAAAGTCCTATCCACAGCAATCGGCCAATAGAAAAGAAAAAGGCATACAAATAGAAAAAGAAATTGAATTCTCTTTCTCCATTTGCAATATGAGTCACTACGTAGAGAATGCTAAAGCCTCTCCAAAACTACTTTTGGGGAAAACTTGAAAAGCCTCCTGAAACGGATAAGCAAGTAAAGTTTTAGGACACAAAACCAATGTACAAAAATCAGTAGCATTTCTATGCATCAACTACTTTGAATTCCTGAACATCTTCTGGTTTTATTGCATTTTCAATTTTTTCCCTCCATTAACTATACATTTTTTCTTTTCTCAGCTAAACTAATTTATTCTTCTGTATAATTTCACCTTGTTAATAAACCCCAGGCCAAAAAGTGGGAATAAAGTATTTGTCTGCATCCTGTTTCCTCATTTTGAAAACTAGTCTAGATGAAACCTATACTTGTTCTAGGGAGTTGGCATAGACAGCATTTATTTCCATTCTCAGCAGTGATGCCAGCCAGAAAGAGGGAGTTCCCCATTTTCACTTTGGTTAGACAGGACTCTGGATGGTTGAAGGGGAAAAGTTTCAGACTCTAAGGGAGCCAAATAGGATATTACAAAGATTTATGCATTTACTCCGGGAGCAATTATTGTGTTAAATTTTGTGCAAAACACTGCGCAAACAGCAATTAAAGTGAAAATTATTAAGGCATTACCTTTACCTTGGGAAACTCACACTAGTCAGATTCTCCGAACCCCAGAACATAACAACAACCTAGTAAAATCTTGTTCAGAGTGAAGAGAGGGTGGGAGCAGGAAGGTAAGATTAAAAATTAGGCTGGGTGAATGAGATAATTACCCCTAGTCAAGCAGTGGAAGTATGGATGGCTTTGGGATGGGTGAAGACAAAAGAATCTCAGCAGAGGGTGCAGATAAAAAAGGGCAGAAACACAGGAGGCTTATGCAGGAAGAGGAATGAGTTTGCTGGACTGGGGAGAGTGACAGTAAAAAGCAGAGGATAATAGGCCTCTGTGGTCATCTAGGGACTATAGGGTGGATTAGTTGGGGGTTACAGAATCAGTGAGGTACTTTTTAACAGTAGGATGGATAAATAAGAGCTATATTTTGGAATAATTATGTAGCAATGGTGGTTAGGAGCAATAGAAACTCAAAGTATTACATAAATATGTTTTTTCTTATTCTCCCACACAAGCCTTTCGCCTTCCCTCTTAAACTGAGAACGGAGTGGTTTGCTATGATGTTTGTAAATTCTCACAGGCAAGCATTATTCTTTGCTGCCTTTTAGTAAAGGTTAGTTTTAACCAAATTAAAGAAGATTGAATGGATTTTCTTGCTCATAATGGTTGAGTGCAACATCTCATACCTTCTACTAGTTTTCAGTATAACTGAAGTAACAGAGTGTCAATACTCCATGCAGGGGTGCTCCGCTTGCTAAGTCTCCCTCCTCTGGGCTTGGCCTTCTACACCATGGCTGTCCTGCTCTGGCTGGAGCTGGAATTTGGATTGACCTCTGTGTGTCTTCCTAGCACACAATAGGTGTCCAATTAGCATGGGCAGAATCAAGCTCCTCCCTCTCACCATTTATTTCTCCATTTGTCCCTTGTTGGGAATGGAGAGTCCTGCCACTGAGTTCAGCCCAGGGTTGAAGTTCAAATCTCAGCTGATACTTGGTGGATGTTGACTTTTTTGAGAAGAACTTGGGAGAATAAAACATTATAAAGGCGCTGGCCAGGCACGGTGTCTCATGCCTGTATTCCTGGCATATTGATTGGCTGAGGAGATAGAATTGCTTGAGGCCAGGAATTTGATACCAGCCTTGTCAACATAGTGAGACCCCATTTATACAAAAAACTTGAAGCATTAAAAACATTTAGCCAGGTGTGATAGTTCCAAACTTGTCTCAGCTATGCTGGACATTGAGGCAGAGGATCACTTGAGCCAGGAGTTCTAGGCTACAGGGAGCTATGATCGTGCTGCTGCACTCCAACCAGGGCAACCACGCAAGATGTTTCAAAAATAAAATCTTTTATTATTCTTCACCCCTATAGTCTCTCCAGAACTTGTGCACTATGTAGCAGAAAGAATCAAACTCCCCAAGAGTTTGGTTCTTGCTTATGATTCGGTTTTCTGCTGCTTGGCTGCCCCGTCATGTCCCCATTTTGTATAAATAAGAACCCCCAGGTGAAGTGGAGTTTCTTCCCAGCAGAGGGTCTCACCAAGGCCCCAGGACTGGCACTTTAGGTGGAGGCTTGCCTTTCAACCTCTGAATAATAATTGATACTAAAATTGAGAAGTTTTCCAGACACCAGCTTCCTGAAAGGAGCACTCAGTCGAGACAAGATGAGGTCAGTAGCGAAGGTGACTCAGGCTGAGTGGGCCGTACATTCCTCTACTTTTCCCAAACTTCCCTCTGACATCCTCCAAACTTTCTGTCTTCCCAGGACTTTCTTGCCAGGGAGTCTAGTGAAGTAAAAGCTTTAAAATTGCTTTGATTTTAAAAATAATTTTATTGGTTCTTAAAATGTACTGTTAAATATTACTGTTTTTCTTCCCCCAGGGGCTACGTGAACATAAGCTCATTTTTCACACTAGCAGCATTTAGAAATGTCTCTTCTGGAGGAACACTGATGCTCTCAAATCACACGTGGTAATTCTCTCCTCCAGGCACAAAATGCAGTCTCAGCATCTCTGTATCAGGAGTCACTGTCTAAGAGTCTCTCCAGAGAAATAAGCTACCCAGGCCATCCAGCTGCTGGTGAGTTGCTTTGTGGTCATGAACTGGGTAGATTTCCTCATCTCTTGCTCATTGGCCACATTCAGGATTAATGATTCAATGCTTTTGTTGTTCCAGAAGCTGTGGTCAGTGGCTATGCAGGAATCAGTCTTTCAGTGCTGATCTTTGCTGAGAAAATAATAGTATTGTTCAAACAGTATATAGGATTTGCACTCAATATTTAATAATTTAGTGACAAAAACCTCTTAAATACACATTATACTGATATAAAATAAGTTATTCATCTATTACCAAATTTACTCTTTTATTTAATATAACCCTTGGGATAACATTTTATTTATGCTTCCATAAATATGCTTCACATGGATATATCACATATTGTGTATAATTTCACACAGTGTTAACATAGTTTCCATCTATTTAGATGTTTGCACATTTATTTTATCTCAATGTTTGTTCTCAGGAAGAGTATTTTTCTTCATAAACTAAATTTTCAGCAAATTTTAAATGCATTTCACTGACATAATTATACTGTTTACATTGTATTTGTGTATTAAGTTACATTTTGTCCTTAAACCTGAAAATAACTTTTCAAATATATGTAATTTTAAATTTACATGTTTTTCCCTCAGAACTTTTAAAACCGTAACCTATTGGATTCTTGATCTTATTCACATATTGAGAAATGTGTTTCTTTTCATTGCTTTATAATTAATTTGAATTTTATCTTAGATAGCTTTACGTGATTTTCTCTATTATGGTATTATGCTTTTAACTATTGTTTTTCTTTTGATCAGAATGCCTTTAAGCTATTATAATTAATTATTTTAATAATTATATATTTTTATTCCCTATTTGACATTCACTCCATTTTATTTATTCAAACTTGCACTTAAACAACATGACTTATTCTAGATTTTTATGTATTTTAATTTTTCATATTGTTTATTTGTTTTATCCCTATTGGGACTTCTAAATATTCACTTCATCATATCTTCTAATTCATAATTTCTTTTTCAATTATGTAATTTTTCTATGTATTCTATCCTTTAAATTTAAAATTTTTACCTAATTATTTTGATAATATACCTTATTTTGATCTTACTTTTAAACTTTTCCTCTAATATATTTAAACATTATAACTACTTATATTATTTCTACAGTATATATACAATTTTGGGATTTATTAAGATGTAATGGTACAGCTGTGTTTTTCTTATAATTTTATTTCTTAATAACTTTGATCTTGATGACTTTTACTTTGTATATTTTAAAAAGAATAGTAGACTTCATTTTATTATAAATGACTGACCTCAATTGATGGGGCCATAGAAGATTCTGGGTCGAGGTATTTTATTCCAATGAAAAGTTATCTGTAATGTTAATAATGCACCCTTTACAGACACCTGAAAATGATTAAGTCTATATATTTACCTAAATTGTCCTGAGTAAAACACATAGTGTACATATGAACCAGAAACTCATATGATGATTGGTGTTAATTCCCAAATCAACCAAAGAGGAGAAATACCACCTCCACTAACTAACCTATTTTTCTAAACTTTTGAAAATGTAAGGATTCTAGCTTTAGATAGCATAGTCAGATCCAAGTACTCCTGCATCTATGCTGCTGTGACATTATATTCACCAATCAGACATGTTAAATTCTAACAAACTGTGCTTCCATTATTAGCAATTCCCACAGGTAACATCAACTTCCAGCCTAATTTTTCTCCTACAGCTGTGCTTCTTTATCCTTTCCTGAAAAATTATTTGTGGAGGTGCATGCCTTTGAAGTTTCTCAGCATATATTGTTATTTGAGGTTGAAAAGATAAGATTATCTAAATTTTTGCCAGAAACTCTGATACCCACATTATATCTTTGAAAGCATTGGTTGTCACACTGCTGCTGACATGTGCATTTAGGAGAAGCATGTAAATGTCAGTGCATTGCAGTCTCTGAGGGGTTGAAATAAACAATACCGGAAATCTTGGCCACTGAGGCTCACATGTAGATTTTCATTCCCAGTCCAGGCATCTAGATTCAGGGGCACCTAACTGAGGGGCTTTTGGTTGAGGCCTTCTTCAGAAACTTTTGTTCAGATCCCTGTTTCTGGAGAAGAAATGGAACTTTGATAATAATTTTCATACATTCCTATTAATATTCAATTCTCTTTAATCTTGCTCATACATTCTCCTCTACGCTCTCCTGCCCCCTTTTCCACAAAATTGCGGGCCTGTTTTTTATGAGGGTGCCACCTCGGCAGTGAGACAGTGCCCCATGTTTGTGCTGATCCATCTGACCCTTTCCTGGTGCTTTTCCATGAGGAAAAAATGGAACAATTAGGAGTCGGTGCTTGATCTAATGTTGCCTGTTGTTTAACACAATCACAGAAAGGAAGACAAAAAGGCGTAACTATTTCTTTGATGTGGGCCTCTTGCTTTAATTTAAAACTCTGATATTAAGCAGGTTAGCTCTTCCCAGCTCAGCTCAGCTCTTGAAATTTCATGGAAGAAATTCTGTTTTTATTGGTCTAAATTTTGTGTCTTTTATATAGAAAAACGGTAATAAAATTGCATCGTATATTTAAAAATTGAATGCCTTCTGTTTTGCCATTTTACTGAAGAGAAAATTTGTGTAGCCTATTGGCATTATTAACAGTAAAGCTCCAAGTACTAATATTCAGAAAAAATAATGAATCAAAATCCAACTATTTCTCAGTAGCATTTTCTTTTTTATAAACTTTCTATTTTATTGTCTGTAATTAAAAAACTTCTGTAGAAAAGAGTTTAAAATTTTCAAAGTTAATACAAAATTATTTTTAGAATTTCTTTTTGCATAATGTTTGTCGTAAGTAGCTAATATTAATAAATTGTAATCATCAATTCTTATCTAAGCTGCACGTTAAAAAATTTGTTAATATTTGCTGCTGCCTAAAATATAATACATATTTACATAATCTAAGCTACTAAAAATAGTAATAAACACACATATAAATAATCAACATACACAGGTCATTTTTTCTATTTCTTACTTATATTTTATGTTTCATATTTGTATCAGCACACTTTATGTCCTACTATCATATATGGAAACTTGCCTATTTTGCATCTTGTTATATTAAATAAGAAGACATATGCTTAGCTTCCCCTAGGTTAAATTTTTTACATAATTGTTATTAATGTAAATAATCCAGAAATGAAAGTTTTTTAAAAAATTTCCAGTGCCCTCACTGTGCATGATATAATTCTATTTTTTAAAGTGTTAGTGCTGTTTGCATTATATAAAAGAATATTTTAGTGTATCAACTAACTACATACCTGAAAGCATGGCTTACTTTTTCATTAGTATATACTTTTGGTTGTACTCGGCTATTTTTCTAAAAGTGCTTGCAAATCAGTTCCAGGCCACAGGGCTTTGTCTTCAACAAAATAAGAATGTCTCAGAGACCCACAGAAATAACTGTGCCAAGTACTCCTATAAACAGGCTTCTGATAGAATGACTTATATAACTTTGAAACACTATCAGTGGACTAATTTATTTCTCTAATTCTAGCAGAGAAGCATATGTGCTTACAAGATAGAGTAAAACAAGTATGAGTAAAACAGGACTAAATGAACTGACGATGAATGATAATAGGTTTTGTTTGGAATGTGAACATAAAACATTCCTGCTATTATTTCCTTGGTATCTAAACATGAGCTAATGGGAGCCGTTGTTACATGTTGTACACCCTTAAGAAGGTTTACAGTTTTTCGTCTCACCTATATTCGTAGTTGTCTGTATTTGTGGTTTAGAATCTCAGCTATTTTCATAGTTGTAGCTATATTTATAGTTGCATGCAATGAGTTGCATGGTTGCACTCAGTAGCCAGGGGATGGGCAGGGAGATGCAAACAATTCTTCAGAGTAAGTTATTATCTTCTGTTGCAGTGGAAGTTCTTGAGGCTTCATAGCTACCTGGCACTCATCTCGTATGAGCTCCTTTGTGTTTCTGAAGCCTCTGGCATACACCGAGGGTGTGGGTTTGCCTGGAATGTAGCATCAACCTGTAGAGAACAGGATTTTCCATGACCCAGTCATTGAATAAACTTGATATCTGCTTCTGCTGTTGAGAAAACATTATTTCTCCTTCAGGAATATCCACCCTCTTCATCAAGAACATCGTGTCATTCTTCAGGGTCACAGAATGCTCTACAGCCTACTTCCTGGTGTCCACCAAGGAGGAGATTAGTTGCATCTGAATTGAAGGAAGATTCGAGAGGGGTCACAGCTGCAGAATTCCAATCACGCTCAGTCTGACTGTGCTGATTTTAGAAAGACACATGGGGATCTGCCACAAGGAAGGCACTTTGCAGGGAGGCCTCAACCCCATGGCACACCCCTTCAGGAGGGCTCTTCTCCTTGTAACAGTCACTTAGCCACTTATAGAAAGGCAACTCTTAGAAAATTTAAATGGGGACCAAAATACTAACCCTAACCAGTTTATTATCTCAAAGAATTGGAAAAACAAAGTTTTCAAATACTACAGGATTAGAAGAGTAAACAAGATATGCTTTTTCTTTGGAGCTACATATATGTATTAAAAATGGGATGTACAAAGAATTTTTTATCACATGGAGAAGTGCTTATGAGATGATATAACATTAAACAAATTAATGAAAGGCACACATTAAAAAGTATAACCAAACTTATACATTAGAACTCAAAATTTAAAATGTGTAGAAAAATGATTGAGAGGAAATATGCCGAATTATAGGAATTGATGTGTTTCTTATAGGAATCAGGATCCTGTGAGAAATTAAATTGCTTTATTGATTCTCTTGTACTTTTATAGTTTCCAAAAGTTCTACAGAGAGTGTAATGTAGGACCTTAGTCAGGAATAAACATCCCTTTAAATAAGCAGCAGAGAATTTCAAAGGAAGTGTGTGGTATGGGTTTATGTGTTTCTTTCAAGATCTAATATTTTCCACGTAGTGCTTCAGAAAAGACAAGGTAATTTCAACAACTTAACCCCATCATCAAGAGGGTGTTACTTAAGTACATTATGGGAGGTCATAGATAAACAACCAGTCAGCCTCTAAGCATCAGAAAATCCGTGATGTCCATTGGCCTGAGAGATGGTCTGCATTTCTTTGAAGGAAAAAAGCAGGTTTTAAAACACTAGAACCGAATCAAATCCTAAATTTGAATAGAAAGATTAGAAAGGCTTATGCATGGGAAAAAGATTCAGGGTATCCAACGGTTAATTCTGACTATTTCTGAGTAATTTAAATTTACCTATAATTTAAAAAAAAAAATAAGGTCAGGTGTATTGACTCAAACCTGTAATCCCAGCATTTTGGGAGGCCGAGGTGGGTGAATCACTTGAGACGAGGAGTTTGCGACCACTATGGGCACCATGGCA
Source organism: Homo sapiens (assembly GCF_000001405.40). Classification (NCBI taxonomy): domain Eukaryota; kingdom Metazoa; phylum Chordata; class Mammalia; order Primates; family Hominidae; genus Homo; species Homo sapiens. The sequence goes on from NW_021160023.1 coordinate 217,592, forward strand.
AAACCTCATATCTACTAAAAACACAAAAATTAGCCAATTGGTGGTGTGTGCTTGTAGTCCCAGCTACTTGGGAGGCTGACGCATGAGAATCGCTTGAACCTAGAGGGTGGAGGTTGCAATAACCCAAGATCTCACCACTGCACTCCAGTCTGGGTGACAGAGCAAGACCTTGTTTCAAAAAAAATTTTTTTGTATTTTAATTAGGAATCAAATAAGATAATTAAATGTAAACTTACACTTAATTTACTTTTTAAGCATTTTAAGAATTGGTATTCTAATTTTGTGTCGGTACATTTTAAGAATCAATAAAATTATTTTTAAAATCAAAGCAATTTTAAAGCTTTTACTTCATTAGACTCCCTGGCAAGAAAGCCCTGGGAAGATAGAAAGTTTGGAGGATGTCAGAGGGAAGTTTGGGAAAAGTAGAGGAATATATGGAGGGCAGAAGGAGTGAACATTAGGGAAACCCTCCCCTAGCTCAGTCTTCAGATACGCTGGTGGACTTCCCCACTCAGCCTGAGTCACCTTCGCTACTGACCTCATCTTGTCTTCTGACTGGATGCTCCTTTCAGGAAGCTGGTGTCTGGAAAACTTCTCAATTTTAGTATCAATTATTATTCAGAGGCTGAAAGGCAAGCCTCCACCTAAAGTGCCAGTCTTGGGGCCTTGGTGAGACCCTCTGCTGGGGAGAAACTCCACTTCACTGGGGGGTTCTTATTTTATACAAAATGGGGACATGACGGGGCAGCCAAGCAGCAGAAAACCAAATCATGAGCAAGAACCAAACTCTTGGGGAGTTTGATTCTTTCTGCTACATAGTGCACAAGTTCTGGAGAGACTATAGGGGTGAAGAATAATAAAAGATTTTATTTTTGAATCATCTTGCGTGGTTGCCTGTTTGGAGTGCAGTAGCGTGATCATAGTTCACCGCAGCCTAGAACTCCTGGCTCAAGTGATCCTCTGCCTCAATATCCAGCATAGCTGAGACAACAGTTTGGAACTATCACACCTGGCTAAATGTTTTTAATGCTTCAAGTTTTTTGTATAAATGGGGTCTCACTATGTTGACAAGGCTGGTATCAAATTCCTGGCCTCAAGCAATTCTATCTCCTCAGCCAATCAATATGCCAGGAATACAGGCATGAGACACCGTGCCTGGCCAGCGCCTTTATAATGTTTTATTCTCCCAAGTTCTTCTCAAAAAAGTCAACATCCACCAAGTATCAGCTGAGATTTGAACTTCAACCCTGGGCTGAACTCAGTGGCAGGACTCTCCATTCCCAACAAGGGACAAATGGAGAAATAAATGGTGAGAGGGAGGAGCTTGATTCTGCCCATGCTAATTGGACACCTATTGTGTGCTAGGAAGACACACAGAGGTCAATCCAAATTCCAGCTCCAGCCAGAGCAGGACAGCCATGGTGTAGAAGGCCTAGCCCAGAGGAGGGAGCCTTAGCAAGCGGAGCACCCCTCCATGGAGTATTGACACTCTGTTATTTCAGTTATACTGAAAACTAGTAGAAGGTATGAGATGTTGCACTCAACCATTATGAGCAAGAAAATCCATTCAATCTTCTTTAATTTGGTTAAAACTAACCTTTACTAAAAGGCAGCAAAGAATAATGCTTGTCTGTGAGAATTTAAAAACATCATAGCAAACCACTCCGTTCTCAGTTTAAGAGGAAAGGCAAAACGCTTGTGTGGGAGAATAAGAAAAAAAATATTTATGTAATACTTTGAGTCTCTATTGCTCCTAACCACCATTGCTACATAATTATTCCAAATTATAGCTCTTATTTACCCATCCTACTGTTAAAAAGTACCTCACTGATTCTGTAACCCCCAACTAATCCACCCTATAGTCCCTAGATGACCAGAGATGCCTATTATCCTCTGCTTTTTACTGTCACTCTCCCCAGTCCAGCAAACTCATTCCTCTTCCTGCATAAGCCTCCTGTGTTTCTGCCTTTTTTTATCTGCACCCTCTTCTGAGATTCTTTTGTCTTCACCCATCCCAAAGCCATCCATACTTCCACTGCTTGACTAGGGGTAATTATCTCATTCACCCAGCCTAATTTTTAATCTTACCTTCCTGCTCCCACCCTCTCTTCACTCTGAACAAGATTTTACTAGGTTGTTGTTATGTTCTGGGGTTCGGAGAATCTGACTAGTGTGAGTTTCCCAAGGTAAAGGTAATGCCTTAATAATTTTCACTTTAATTGCTCTTTGCGCAGTGTTTTGCACAAAATTTAACACAATAATTGCTCCCAGAGTAAATGTATAAATCTTTGCAATGTCTGATTTGACTCCCTTAGAGTTTGGATCTTTTCCCCTACAACCATCCAGAGTCCTGTCTAACCAAAGTGAAAATGCGGAACTCCCTCTTTCTGGCTGGCATCACTGCTGAGAACGGAAATAAATGCTGTCTATGCCAACTCCCTAGAACAAGTATAGGTTTCATCTAGACTAGTTTTCAAAATGAGGAAACAGGATGCAGACAAATACTTTATTCCCACTTTTTGGCCTGGGGTTTATTAACAAGGTGAAATTATACAGAAGAATAAATTAGTTTAGCTGAAAAAAGAAAAAATGTATAGTTAATGGAGGGAAAAAATTGAAAATGCAATAAAACCAGAAGATGTTCAGGAATTCAAAGTTGTTGATGCATAGAAATACTACTGGTTTTTGTACATTGGTTTTGTGTCCTAAAACTTTACTTGCTTATCCATTTCAGGAGGCTTTTCAAGTTTTCTCCAAAAGGAGTTTTGGAAAGACTTTAGCATTGTCTACGTAGTGACTCATAATGCAAATGGAGAAAGAGAATTCAATTTTTTTTTCTATTTGTATGCCTTTTTCTTTTCTATTGGCTGATTGCTGTGGATAGGACTTTTAAATCTAATTAAATTGTATTTGTTAGATTTTTGTATATTTTAATATGTCTCCAATTAATTTTATATCTGTATAATGTCCCCTTATAAAGGAATATGTAGCTGTTTTATTTAGTTATTTTATTACTGATGCACATTTGAGTTTTTTTCAGTTTGGAAAAGTACCAAATAATGCTGCTTAGAGCATTTGTCTGCATTGGAAAATATGCTGGCATTTCTATTGGGTGTATATACCTAGTAGCAGAGTTGCTGGGTCCTAGAGTGTGCTTATGTACATCGTGTATGTAAGGAGTTACTACTCAAGAGGTTTTGAATGCCGTTATAACAGTTTGCACACAGAATGGTATAAGAAAGTTCCAGTTGCTTGACATCATCACTAGTACTTAATTTTGTCAGTTTTCAAAAATGTGAATGATTGCATAGTGGTATTCAATTGTAGTTTTCATATGCATTGTTCTGATGCATAAGGATGTGGATATGTTCATCTACTTGTTGGCCCTTCGGTTCTGTATGTGGAACTCCTAGTCACATGTTTGCCAATTTTGTTCAATGTATTGCATCTTTGTTTATTAATTGATGGGATTTGGTTAAATAAACTAGATAAAAGGCTTTTGCCACATCAATATATGACAAATGTTGATTTCCACTTTGTTCTTGCCTTTCAGCTCTCCTGAAGGTTTTTTTTTATGAAGAGAAGGTTTTAATTGTAATAAAGTCCAATTTGTCATATTTTTGTCTTGAGAATTAATGCATTTTGTGTCCCAAGAAATCTGGGCCTGTGCCAGTCATGGACATATTTATCTATGTTATCTACTAGAAATATTGTTTTCAGCTTTGACCTTAAAATTTAAAATCCACTTTTCATTGGAATTTGTTAATAATATAAGATAGGAGTGTTTTTTCTCACATAAATAACTGGTTGACTCAAGGCTATTTACCGAGAAGACTGTCTTCACTCCTCTTCTGTGCCTGTTTTGTAATATACAAAATGTCCAAATGTGTGAGTCTGAGTTGGACTCTCGAGTTTTTCTAGTTTTCTTTGTGCCTATTTTTGCATTACTATCATAGATAGCTTTTATTACTATAGCTTTAATCTAAGTCTGAATATATGTCATTTTAAGCTCACAAACTTTGTTATTCTTCAGGACAGTTTTTACATTTCTTCGATTTTTTATATGTATTTAAATTTTTTAAACTGATTAGACAGTTTCCACAAGATTTCTGCCAAAATATTGTATTGTGAAAATGGAAATCTATGAATCAATTTAGGGAGAAGTTACATAGAAACAAAGCAAAACAAAACACTAATAACATCCAAAACAAACTTAAAGAGAACACCACAATAAGAAAAGAAATTCCCAAATTGGAATAAATATTTACAACTCATGAAATTACAAATGGGCTCGCATTTCCATAAAGGGCACTCTCTCTCTCCCTCTCTCTGTCTTTTTTTTTTTTTCCACAGAGACTCACTCTGTCACCCTGTCTTGAGTGCAGACGTGCAATCTCGGCTCACTGCAACCTCTGCCTCCCAAGTTTCAGCAATTCTTCTGTCTCAGCCTCCTGAGTAGCTGGGGCTACAGGCTTGTGCCACCATTCCCAGCTAATTTTTTGTGATTTTAGTAGAGACGGGGTTTCACCAGGTTGGCCAGGCTGGTTTTTAACTCCTGACCTCAAATGATCCGCCCGCCTCAGCCTCTCAAGTGTTGAAATTACAGATGTGAGGCACCACAGCTGACCTGTAAAGACCTCTTAAAAATTAGTTAAAAAACAAACAAAACAGAAAAAGAGAAAGAAGAAACAGCCACTCAGTTAAAAGAAAAAGATAAAGAAAAAGAAAAAGAAAAGAAAAGAAAAAAAGGCAAAAGACATTATTTTACAGGTCTAGTGCCCTGTGCCCCTCACTGTAATGGGGGTGGATATGGGCTTCACAGGACATGAAATTCATCAAACAGTTGCTGGTTGAAGGAGGGAAAATCTTGCGGGACCAGCCTCCAGAACAGAGCCTGTGGTGCACTGTTTCATCCCGTAGCCCTGGTAAGAAAACCTGGCTGTGCCGTGCTTTATGTTCACCTGCATTTGCCCTGTTCAGAGGCCTGAGCTACTGTGGACACATAAGTCTGCTCAAACTCTCCCCATCCCAATATTCTATCTGGTATTGAGCATGACACCCTGTCTTCACTGAGCATGTGTTTATGCAGTTTTGTGACCACCTATCCATTTTACAACAGGAAGACTGAGGCCCCCAAAAAAGGCAAAGACTGGTCCATATCCCAGAAATTGGGAAGAGCACAGAGTATTAGGGAGGGATCCAGCTTCCAAGGCCTTGCATGCACCCCACCCATCAGGTTTGCTTTGGAAATGAGTGCTCCTAAGTCCTGGAAAACCCTGTGGTCTACTTTCTACCTGGGCTTTCTACCCTTCCTTATTCTCACATAGGTGTGCAGCCATGAACACACAAACACACCACACACACACACACACACACAGGCTTCTAAGGTGGAGATCATGGAGGTGAGGTTAGAGAAGAGGAAACCAGAGAAGTGACAAAACGGGAAGAAATAGAAGAGGCAGCTTTGCCATGAGGCAGAGGCATCCACTCCCCCAGCTACATGACCAGGAGCTGACAGCATGCGATGAAGGATCCTCCAGGTTCCCTGGGTTCTTCCAGGCCTGGGGATCTTCCCAGCTGTTTCAAGAGGACAGGACAGGGGTTGTGACTCCCACCTCTATGGGCACATGGAACTAAAATGAGCTATGCCCTCCCCCAACCACCCCATGTGATATAAAGTGAGGCTACGGGAAAGAAAACCTTCGTTTTCTCTCTCATAAATAGGGGTACTCAAAAGGAATAATACCAAGAATTCTAGATACTCATAAGTGTCTGCTCCCCTTGGCTCTTCATTGGTAACTCACTGTGCTTTGAGACTCTGGGAAGAGGCTTTTCAGGTTCTAGAGGTCCTTCAGAGAAGAGAGAGGCCTAGAGATGTGGGCAGATGAGGACTTGGAATAAAGCAGAATGTGACAATGCACTGGGCTCTGGAGTGTGGGGCCCAGAAAAAATACTAGTTTTTTGGGCTGTCCTTGAGTTCCTCATTCAGAAGTGGAAGAAAATAATGTCTCTGAATGCTGTTAAAATGTTTAATGAGTGCACAGCACACTCAAAGAGGCTGAGGAAAATAGGAATCAAGGGAGGTTTCCGAGGTTACTTTTATGGCCCTTGGAGCCTTCAGATACTGCTCCTTTTCCCAGGGGTCCTTGATTAGCCACTGCCTTGAGAATTCCCCAATGCAGGTGCCTGTTTTGTGATGCTTCCACCTGGGACTTCAGGGCTAGTGGAGGCCTCTAGGTGGCGGCAGACCCCGTGTTTCTTATGCCCGCTGGGCTTTACTGGAGCAGCTGGAGCCGGGGGAGAGACAGCCTGAGGTCCTGCACCTCCTGTTATCATTCATGATCTCCACATTATTGGGTGACCAAAAGCGGGCAGAAGGGCTTTGTGATTTTCCATGTTATTTTACTCAGCGACTCTTCCCCTAGCACTCACCATGTGGCAGCTACCTTGGTAGGTTCACCATGTGGTACCAAAAATGATTATGTTATCCCTGCATCCCGGCGGGAGCCCACGGTCTGAGGACGGCAGGACAAAAACACTAAAGCAAGTACATGTGAAAGAAAAGAGCATTTTATAATGGAAATAAAGTAGAATGTTGGGAGGGAGGGCTGGGGAGAGGTTGCCTGGAGGGGACATGAATGCCTCCCTGAGGTGACATTATGTTGTCACCAGAATGACAACAGAGAGCCAGTCCTGCGCAGGTGTGGAAAGTGTGCCAGGGAAAAGCCACTCTTTGTGAAGAGACTCACAGGCACAGGTGAGTTCAGCAGAGGAGGTTATAACGGGACAATTGTGGCGGCAGGCAGCCTGAGAAAGAAAGGAAAAGAAGGGAGGGAGGATCCTGGGGACTGAAAGAGGAGATTAGTCATTTGCCCCTCTCTGACAAAATTTCCCTGAATTTTAGCACATGTTGACAACAAATACTATCTCACAACTTTTGTGAACCAGAATCTCGATATAGCTTAGTTGGGTGCCTCTGCCTCAAGGTCTCTTACGAGGCTGGGGCTGTGATTTCAACTGAAGCTGGATTTGAGGAGAGATCAGCCTTCTATCTGCCTCATGGAAACTGGCACGATTCAGTGTGAACTGAGAGCCCGAGTTCCTTCCTCTCGATTGGCCTGGGCATCTCCTCAGTTCTCTATCATGTGGATCTGTGCCTAGAGCATCTTAGGACACTGTAGATTACTTCCTCATCTTGAGGATTACAATACAGAGATGGAAAATGAAAGAGATAGACAGACATATGCAGAGAAAAAGAGAGAAAGGGAGACAGAGAGATTGAGAGAGGACGCACAGGACAGAGCAAGTAAGAGGAAAATAATAGCTGTTTTAGAAATATAAATTTGGAAGTTGCAGTAGACTATGTGATTCCCCACCATGTTCACATACCAGAACCTTAATCCCCAGTGTAATGGCCTTAGCAGGTCAGAGGTAATTAAGTCCAAAGCATGAGGACCTCATGATAGCGATTACGGGCTTTGTAAAAGAAACCGCAGAAGGCTGTCTCTCCCTCTCTCTGCTAAATGAGAAAACAACCTGAAGTCTGGAGTTTGAAACTCAGAAGAGAGTCCTTACCAGACCCCAACCATGCTGGAAGCCCAATCTCAAATTTCTGGCCTCTAGAACTAATGTCTTTTATTTATAAGTTGCCTAGTCTATGCTTTTTGGTATAGAAGTCTGAACTAAGTCAGAAGTGATAACCTATCACATTTGTTGTTTTCCCTTTGACAGAAACTAGAACCAGGTCCCCAAAGAGTTCATCCAATGACTAGCAGAAATTCTTCAGTTTGCAGAATGACAGATAAGAAAAGATACAACTTGTTGAAAGAATGAAATTTATTCCACTTATGAGACTTCTAAAAAGTGGCTAAAATTGGTCGGAACCAATATGGTCAACTGGAGTCTGTGTGAAATAAGCTCACTGATGTGAAAGCCCAAATTTCCATCACATGTTTTGTACTAACTGTCCCCAAATTTGCACATATGATCTGTGTGTAGCAAGAAAAAATAGTTGTTCATGCCCAGTGATTTTCCATACATTTTTCCTTTAAGCAATTCCGTACTAATCCAGAACCTACCTCCTAAACCTTTCTGAGAATATTACTACCTTTAAGTAAGCACAGGGAAACAGACTTGAGCTGGAATCCCATCTCTTTGTTAGAAACCCGGTGTTATAGTACCTGCTTCTGAGGCACTGAGAGGTGAGCTGCGTTTTAAAATAACAGAGTCACTCACAACTTAGTGTTGTTGTGAGACTTTGTTGGGGGCGCCCACCACATAGGCTGAGATGAGGCATATACATATGATTCTAAAAATAATGCACAGCACTGGAATATTTAATGCCAGAAGACAGTATCTGATTTTCTTTTAATTTCAACCTCTTCTGCTGTGGAATGGAAAATTAAGGCCATATATATAAAATATATATCTTTTATGTATAAAGATACATAAACTATGTATCTTTTATATATAAAGATATATATGTATAAGTTTATATATTATATATAGTTATATATAATTGATATATATATAGTTATATATAATATATAAATAAAATTATTTATATACATTATATATATATATATTTTTTGAGACACAGTCTCGCTCTGTCACCCAGGCTGGAGTGCAGTGGCAGGATCATGGCTCAATGTAATCTCTGCTTCCTGGGCTCAAGTGATTCTTACACCTCAGCCTCCTGAGTGGCTGGGATTACAGGCATGCATCAACACATCTGGCTAATTTTTGGATTTTTAGTAGAGAAGGGTTTTTGCCATGCTGGCCATGGCTGGTTTCAAACCCCTGGCCTTAAGTGTTCCAGCTGCCTTGGTCTACCAATCTGCTAAGATTACAGCAAGAGCCACTGCATCCAACCGATTTTGATTCATTCTATCTCATATATCACCAAAGACTGTTTTTGGAAGTTGATATTAGCATAATCCCATTATGCATACTTCAGGGCTGGGGAGACCTGAAGCACACAGTCATTTTCATATGGTCACAGAAATGAAAAGGAAAAGAAGATTTTAACCCACTCTGTTCTCTCAAACCTGGGGCCCTGGCTGCATTTAGAACTTTTTGGGAAGTAAGGGACATAATTGTGTTTGCATAACTGTTTACAGGTAAAGAGTTGACATGGGAGAGGAGGGTGAGCAATCAGCAGCCCAGTAGGGACTTTGCATAGATTTATGGAGGAAAAGGGCTCAGGGGATAAAACCTTGAAGAAGTTAACAGACTTCCTTGTGACAGAACCTAACAGAATTTAGAACTTTGGGAACCAGAAACCCACATTCTAGAGACAGCCCTGTATCTAGCTAACTTCTTGGGAGATGCTTGAGAGGGCACTGTGTTCTCATTGTAGGTTATATTCCCAAGCTGTTGCCTGAGAAAGGCCCAAAGTGAGAGCCTTTTCTGACAGTATACATACTGGCTCAGCCTACATCCTTGATACCATTGGCCATTCGACAAGAGGCACCCACAGGTAACACAGTGTAGCCCAGGGCAGTTCCGTCCATGCCAGGCCACCTGTGTCATCTAATCTGGGCAACCCGACCCTGCCTACAATTACCCTGTGTTGCAAGGGGAGCAGGAAAGGAGGGGGCTTTTCCTCACAGGGGCAGGTTTTAAGACACAGGAACCCTGGTGGGTCTGTCATGTTCATACCCAGGTCACGGTTGGTGGAATAAAAAGTTGTGAGTTGCGGACCAAGTACGTCTACTCAGATGTGAATCCCAAGGCCTTAAGCTGTCCTCGGGTTTCCTCATTGGCTGGGGGTCTATGCAGATACTCCTATGTTCCTGATCTAGGAAACAGAATTTCTAATGGAGATGTCACCTGGTGGTAAAAACAAAGAAGACAATTAACTTTTTTTGCTGCTGGGAACACTCTTTGTAGAGCTGCATTAAAATCAGTGAGCAGATATTTGATGGGTTCAAGTCCCCCATCTCCTTGGACAACTGGCAGGTTCACCACACCCCAAGCATGGCATACAATGAGTTATGGTGAGAGCAGGCACATGGGGGTCTCTACAGAGAGGGACCTGACAAAACCAGGATGGGCCCAGGATCCAGACCCAAACATGGAATTTCTCTGCACTTTCTCCTAGGGGATTTCCATGAGTGACCCTCAGATCTACCCCCAAAAATCTAGCCTTAACTGGTTCCAGTGGCAACCTGGTTAAGTGTAAAGTCCCTTTTTACATTCTTGTAGAAATATCAGAGAAGACCTTTGTGTTGTTTTTACTTTACACTAGGCTATATTTATTCATGTTACTACAGTTTGTATAGTTTTAATTATTCCCCCCGATATCATCTGTAGCAGGCAGCTTCACGGTACTGCCAGCCTTTCTCCAAGACTTGAAAGCCACCACTATCACTAATACTCTACAAAAATAGGGAAGAGTTTACATGAAAAAGGGGTTATATTGTTTCCTGCATTTGTCTGCAATGTGTCATCTAAGAGAACTCATCCCAGTAGCCCATCAGGGCAGAAGTGGTGCCCTCACATATCTTTGTAATGTTATATAATGGAGGTCACTTCCCAGAGTGGTTTAGCCTTTCAATGGCTATTATTTCTGATCAAAATGGAATAAAACTAGAAATGAATAACAGAACAAAACAAAAATAGCAACATATATATGGAAATTAAACAACTCACTTTTGAGCATGCTCATGTTTAACGGTTGTAAGACTTAATATTATGAATAATGCTTATGATGTCTAAAGCGAGTTACAGATTCAATGCAATCCCTTTTAAATTAAGAATTTTTTTTTGAAATAGAAAAAGGAACCAACAAATTATATGGAATGTCAAGCGACCATAAAGAGCCCAAAAATGTTTAAAAAAAAAACAATGTTAGTGACCTCACCTTTTCTGATTTCAAAGCACATTACAAAGCAACAGCAATGAAAACAGTTTGTTTCTGGCATAAAGACAGACAATTTTTCCAATAAAACAGAAGGTAGCACACATGTAAACCTCACACATATGAGCAAATAGCTATTTGCATACCAATATTCATTGGAGCATTATTCAGAAAGGCCAATAGGTGAAAGCAACACAAACTTTCCTCATAGGATGAATAAATAAATACAATTTGTAATATAAAAGTAATGGAATATTACTTAGCTTTTAAAGGCAGAAAATCTTGTACCATCCACAATAAAGAGGAATCTTGAGAACATAATGCTAAGTAAAATTAGTCACAATAAAACAGATACTCTATGATTCTACTTATATGTAATATCTAAAGTATTGAAACTTAGAACCAGAAAATAGAATGATTTTTATCATGAGCCAGGTGGTAAGGACAATGGGTAGTTGTCATTTCATGTGTACTGAGTTTTAGTTTTGCAAAAGAAAAAATTTTACAAATATGTTGCATAACAATGTAAATACACTTAACATGACTGAACTGTATAAGAAAAAATATTAAAGATTCTAAATTTTATGTTATGTATTTTTACCACAATGGAAATTAAAAATGACACCCAAGGGCCAAGAGTGATCACTCATGCCTGTAATCCCAGCACTCTGGGAGGCTGAGGCATGCAGGTTACTTGAGGCCATAAGTTCAAGACCAGCCTGGCCAACATGGTGAAACCCCAGCTTCATGAAAAATACAAAAATTAGCCAGGCGCGGTGGTGCACAACTTTAATGCCAGCTACTCAAGAGGCAGCAGCTGGAGAATTGCTTTAACCTGGGAGGTAGAGGTTGCAGTGATCCAAGATTGTGCCACTGCACTTTGGCAACAGGGTGAGAGTCTGTCAAAAGAAAAAAAAAAAAAATGACACCCGAAGAGACAGAGTTACAAAGTTTCTGAAAAATTATCTTCAAATCGCATAAATCTTTCTTTCACACTAAGATAATATAAACAATAGATGTTGAAATTAAGACAATTTCCATGATTACTCACTTAGACAGAATAAATTATTGGCCATCAAATAAGAAGAAAATATACAAGTCATAAACAAAATAGGGGCAATATTTATACAGGCAAACAAACAGTGAAATCATTATATTAACAAAAGACATAGGGATGGTTCATATTTGACTTCTGCCCCACACTGTCTTAATGCATACAGAGTTGAATATTGTTATACAATATTATATTATACAAATTAAAACTTAAAACAATAAACTAATATAAGGTGCCCTACCCTAAAACATGAAACACAGAAATGTAAAATTGCAAAACAAAGTTAAAATAAACATTAACCCCCAAATTCTTATTTGAATAATGAAATTCAAAATCATAATAAATAGGTAGAAAGTAAAAACACAATTAACTGATGTGAGACAGCCTACTCTAAAAAATACAGAAACATAAAATTATAAAACATAATTAAGAGAAACTTTAATCCATAAAATCCTGAATAAACATAGTGTCCAAATGAAAAAGAATCCTAGGTAACTACAATTTTTAACTCTTCCTGTGAATCTATGAAAAGTATGAATTTTGAATTATTTGGATACAGTTAGGACAACAACATTTCAGAGAAAACACATTATAATTATTACAAAGAGCTGTGATGAGAAAGTTTGAAGGAATAAGCATTTAAGTAATACTAGAGAAAGTTTTAAATTATGCTACTGATGCATTGCTGCTTTTCTTACACAAAACGGTAAGGCTGTAATCTAGCTTTTAATTGAAAAGTATTACATTTCTAAATATGGTAACAATATAAATATTGTAAATATAGTATAAAACATTGACATATAAAATAAAAATTGGAAATAAATTGTACTATTAGTCAAATAAAAGTTGGGAAAACTGGAAGAAGATGCTAATAGTAACATTGTGCCTAGAGTCAATTAAACATACAAGCCAAATATTTTAATAAATTATAAATTATATAATTTATACATAATATATACATTTGAGCATGCTATTTTACAACTTCTGAAAGGAAATTACAGACAAATGTGACATATGATAATTTAGAAAGTGAAAACACAGTCATAGTAATCTTCATATTAAAGAAGACAGAATCATAAAATACTAAGTGAGAAATAAGGTAATAATTGTGAATTCAATATATGTTGAACAATATTCTAATTTCCCTTACGGAAAAAGTTTTTGTAAGAAATCAGTAGAATGAGTACATACAATAAACCATCCTACAGTAGAGGCTGTTGGCATATAGAGTTTACATTTCTATGATTAGGTCCTACTAAGAAAAAGGAAATTTTAAAATAAAATACTTAGATTTTCCTATTTAATAAGATAATTTTTGCCTATAAAGTTTTTCTGTCTAATTTTCTTGTAGAATTAGGTTTTAGTCGTCGTAAAACTTGACATTATGAAGCAGAAAACAGGTGTCATCTGTCTCTGGTGTTCCTGGAAATTCTAACCCAAATGCCAATTCCTCCACAACTCCCCTCACACACTTCTGAATTGAAGCACAACAGATTTATTAAAAATGGCATAACAGCGGTCTCCAGACATGTGCAGAGATTTTCCCAGATCCCCAAAAGCAATGACAAACTATTCAGATCATTTAGGTTCTCACAAGATACTGGGAGGACTTTGGCTTTCAGTGTGAATGCACTGGAAGATTCTAAGAGAGAGGGAGAGAGAGAGAATGTGTGTGTGTTGAAATCAGAACCCCACCTTATGTGTTTATTGTGGAAATTGAAAATGAAAGCCTAAAGTTGAAAATTAAAATCACACATGATAGCACATTGCAAACTATTTTCTGTGCTAGATGGGTCGTTCTAGGGTGTAGGACCCTGGAAACACCGTTTTCCCCTCCTTCCGGAAAGAGCTACTCACACTGCTCAAAGCCTACATTTACATGTACCATGTCGAAGACCAGCTCAAGAACCTGGACCCATATGCCACCTTCAGCAGGGTTGACTGCAGCTGCTTGTTCTTCCTGAGCATCTTCTCCAATGGTGACCTGAGAGCTGCGGGAGGCATTGGGGCCAGGATTGAACAGAGGAAAAAGGAGCACGGAGGCCAGGTGCTGAGGACCAGGCCATCTCACCTGGAGAGTTCTGGCCCTGAGACATCCAGACCAGCATGACGTTTAGGTGCAGACAGCTGGCCCTGGGTGGCCCTGTGCTGATCACTGGCCTCGGCCCCTCAAACAGTGGGAAATGGAAGAATGGCTTGGAAATGGGCACTGTCGACAGTGTGTCACCTGAGCACATTCTCCCAGGGGCCCAAGAGGGGCCATCGTGTCTCTAGAACCAGAACTGGAAGGTGAAACTGCCAGGGGGAACAAGGAAGAGGGTCCTCAGTTGGGTGGAGGGTCTCACAGCAAGACGCCTGGCTTAATCAAGCTTGGCCATTCCTGAAGCACGTTCAGTGACTAAAAGTGCCTACCATGAGCAGCTGGAACACACTCTCTGAGAGCTGCAAGATGCATGGAGACCTCAAGTACCTGTTTGTAATTACAGCCAAGGACCAGCAGGCAGCATTACCGCATCCACATGGGCTTTTGCTGGAAACAGTAAGTCTCTGCCAGCCCCTCCCAGGCTCCTGGGATGCCACTTGTTCTGGGTCTGTGGACAGATAACCAGGACACTTACTCAGTGAAGCCCATCGTTCAACCCCAGCCCCACCATACCCTGTCTCCTAAGCCATTCCTCATCCCAGAAGGAAAGGCAATGCCTTTGTCCCACAGCCCCTGCCTTATGTCATGTCATGTGGGGGTATGGAATGAACCCGTCAGCCTAAACTCCAGTCCTTCTGCCTGAGGAATCTGTCCCCGCTGTCTGAGTCGCCCTCTAGGGAGCTGTCAGTGGGATAGAGAGCAGCCCTGGAAGAGAGGCCCACCTTCTTCTGTTTGACTTCAGGACAGCCTTTCAGGGCAAGAACCCAGAGCAGATGGAGGCCTCACAGAAGCCTGTGGCAGGGCTCTGGGCTTCGTGGGCTAAGCATCTCCCTCTCTGATGACTGCCATGGGGCCCACAACCACTCATTCAAGAGGGTCACCACCACATTGCAGGTGTGCAGCTGGACGGTTCCCCAGGCAGAGCCTGCCATGGACTGCATGCACAGAGAGGATGCACACCTTGAAGTTGGACAATGAGGAGAACATTCCTGAAGAGGTGCATGCAGCCTGGCCCTGCCCTCACTGGGAACCCCCTTCCATCTGGGTACTAGACAGAATTCTGTGCACTTTTCTGGAGGCTCCATGCTGGTCTGTTCATTTGGAAGTTTGATGCTGTCTGTGAGGAAGTAACAAAAGAGATATCTCAGAGCCGGTTGTTTGTCACAGGCTGAGCGATTTTCTCCCTCCCTAGTCCCTCTGCAGACACGGGGCTGGAACAAGGACCTATGGATAATGAGGGAATTTCTCTTCGAGAACCTGCCTGAGCTGCTGCTTCAAGAAAGAGCCACATTAAAGGTGCCTATAGCCCCTGATGAGGGAATGGCAGCCTCAGGCCTGCCTGCCATCTGTGAGCAGGTTTTCTTGCTAACAGGATGAAAGCAAAGAAAGCTGGAATGAGCCCAGCCCTCTCAGGCACCTTGAAGACTGTTGGGGTTCCTTCCAGCCCTTCTAGCCTTATGCTTTTTGGCAGGCCACTCAGGCACCTTTTTCCAGCCTCTGAGACTTCCATGCTCTGGAAGGAGAGGGTCCCACTTTTCACTAGGCTATGGGGCCAGGCCCATCCAGCTCCCGGCTGCCACTAACAACCATGGGGCTCTCACCTGGGCACACACTGCCCAAACATGGCCCTTCTAAGGCAGAAGATCATGTGTCTTGCAGTTTCAGCTTGCTAGGGCTTAAAAGTTATCAGTGCTGTTATTAAGATAGGGAAGTGAGAAAGGAAAACTTGCTGTAAAAGTTTCCCATAATCTTACCACGGAGATCTTCAGCACAGATGACAGCACAGGCGGGGCTGCTGGGGAGGCTGAAGGAGAGTGTCCAGCCTGTTCTGCCAGCTGGTCCTTGCCAGGGGTGTCTCGTGACCCAGTCCCTTAGAGAAGCATGCAGATATCTCAGCAAGTATCTGGAAGGTGTAGATCAGGGCAACCCAGCACTACTGATGGTGGAGTGGGGCTACCTCCCATCAAGCTGTGTCTCCACAGCTGACCCTTGTAACCCGGAGGTGTTTTACAACATGTGCAAGGCAGTGAGCCCCATCAGCTGTGTGGCATTCAACACTCACTTCAACTCGTACATCTCACCAGAAAGCAGTGGGGACTGACCAGTGCAGAAGCCTGCAAAGTAGTTCAGAGCATCATGGGGTGGGGGATGTGGGGCCTGCCTGCTCATCTGAGCACTGCTCCCTGAGGGTGTGATCTGCAGGCTTCCTGAAGGAGGGCTGTGAGCTCATCTGCGAGGCCCTGAGCCTGTGGAACATGCCTGAGGCCAAGCCCATGGGGATTTGTGTCTACTTGCACCTCCTTGCTCATCTCAGTACACTACATGTGACTGTGCCAAGGTGGGCCTTGAGCATCCCCTGGGCTGTGTTAGCAAAGGGCTCTGGGTCTGGCCTGGCATTGAGGGATGGCAAAAAAGGAGCCTGGGGTTGCATTGTCACCCCCTATGGTAGCATAAAATGAGAGAGTCCAGACCTGCAGGACTGGAACCCTAACAAAGGGGTTAGGAGACTGCTCACTTTCCCTCAGGGACCCATGTGGAGGAGCTGAGGGAGGTTAAGGAGACCCTAGGGACTCACTTGTTCTGTCTGGGCTTCCCCCTGCTCCATCGTTTGATGACCATTTTCTGGGAAGAGCTCAGGAACCTCCTGTGCTCTAGTGAGACGGGGCCTCCCCTCACAGGGTATTCTGAGACTGTGAGTGAGAAGCTAACACAGTGCCTTGCAATACTCACGGGAGCTGTCATCCTCTGTGAGCATCACGTGGCCTTGTAGTGTTCAGACTGCCTGGCCTGCCTGGGGTTTGGTGAGGCTGTTTTGTGGTCAGCTGCTTTAGAAGCTCACTTTCTCTGCAATCAAACAGTGACTGTTTTCATGTCTGTTTATGGGTTTAAAAAATCCTAATATTTCCTTTATAGTAGTTCAGCTTGTATGTGTTTATTTGTATAAATTTTATTAGAATAAAGAGAGCTTAAGACAATAGCATTTTAAGGTCTTAATGGGGCATAGACTTTCATGTCACAACAGCTAATGTTGACCTCCTTTTGCTGCCTTTGTGTAAATTACACATAAAAAGTGCAGCCAGAGGTGACTAGAGCTGAGCTGCTTGGGCTTGCTTGCTGGCCTGCAGTCAGGTGGACTCTGGCTGTGAGGCAGTGCCCACCCTGGATCTACATCCCCCACCCTCTCTCCTTAGTCCCTGAGTAACCAACAAGGCCGTGCTAATGAGAGGGCGAGTGATGGGCATCGGGCACCCCAATACTATCCGGGAAGATTTGAATGCCATCTGGGCTGGAGCTGTTGGGATTACGGGCTGTGGCTGTCTTGGCTTGTCATGGTGCCACCCACAGATGTGCCTGCCCTGTGCTGCTTCTCCAGCAGCCGGCTGCCCATGGCCCTGAGCCTGTCACACCATGCTTGCTACCTCATGCTGCTTGTGTTTGAAAAACCCATCCGGAGATGACGCTGCTGGATGTAAGTCCTGAAAAGAGGGCATCACCTTTGTCCTGGGGGATTAGGAGCTGACCAGATTCCTCTTGACTCCCTCCCAGAACAAGTGGGGCAGGTGCTGCAATTAATGTTGCCCCCCAGAAGATGTGTTTGCACTGGCTGAGCAAATATACGATGCAGAGACCTAAATGAAGACACGTGAATGGGGTGTGTGGACATCAGTTAGTAGCTGGGAAACAGGTGCCTCTCAGGCCTCTCGTGCTCCAGCAAGTGTGGAATATGCCTGTGCCCATGAGTGTAGACATCTGGAGTGTATACATTTGGCTGCTGCTTTTGCTGCCACTATTCCCAGGCCCAACCTGGCTTAAAGTCCAGGTTTTAAGTAAAAAGTAGGAGGCTTTTTGCCACACAGCTACTTGAGAGGCTGAGGTGAAAGCATCACTGGAGCCTAAGAGATTGAGGCTGCAGTGACCCATGATTCAGCCACTGCACTGACACAGTGAGACCTGCGTGTGCCTTTCTACAGAGAATACCTCTGGGGCATTTGGGGATCCCTACAGTCCCGGACCCTCCCTGTCCCCTGCTGCCTGTGCTTCTTCCCTTGCCTGCTGTCAGAGCCTAACATGGAGGAGGAGGTTGCCGCCCTGTGAGCCTGAGGGAGCTGTGTCTGACTGGAACTTCTGTCTGGGGTTTTGCGAAGACCTACTTATGAATATGGTCTGTCCAGATACCTTGTTTCAAAGGAAGTGAACATGAGCTAGCAAGTGTAGCCACCCCACAGCTGATAAACAACTTTGTCTTGTTTTTAAATCATCAATCTTCATTTCACATTGGAATAAAGTAAGTGAAACCTGCTACCCCAGCCTCTCCCGTGTGTTCTGTAGCCCAGACTCATGTGGTTGTGTGGGCTGTTGTCAGAAATGTTATTAAAAGGTTATGCATAAATTAGATCAAATATAAAATTATGCTTATAATGTCACTTGATTGGGAGGTAAGAGGGTAGAGTCACAGGAAATCTGTTGGGGTTTACACCCCTGCTACTTACCAAGCTCATAAGAGTGTGACACTGGTGACCATCACCTGACATTGGTGACAGAAGAGAAAAGGCCGAAGTGAAGGCCAGGTAGGAGAGAGGTGCCACGCTGTGGGGCCAGGCCCTGCGCATGCTGGGCCTGTTAGGTCACTGAACATCTAACTACCCGGGAACCAGCTCTTTTCACATCATTTGAGGTAAGACGATGGGGGAGCACTCTCCAGAAGTCACACTGCGCTGGGAGAATGGAGGAGAGTCTACATCCCGCCATCTTAGGGTAGGTTTTAGATTGAGCTGGACTGTCTTGGAGAGCTAATGAGATGGGAGGAAGACAGTCCCCCAGGTGCACCTGACAGCCAGAGCCTATGAAGTTAGGGGGGTTGTGTGGGGGTGGCCTGTCCCTATAAGAGGAGGAGCTTAAAGCTCTTAAAGCTGGTGGCTGCTGCTCTGCCATCCCTCTACAGAGCAGGCAAGTCCTCAGCTGCACGAATATCTGAATGTCTTTTGGAGTGTTAGAGTCCTCTGTGTCTTAGAAATTTTGAA
The DNA here is from genome assembly GCF_000001405.40 of Homo sapiens. Classification (NCBI taxonomy): domain Eukaryota; kingdom Metazoa; phylum Chordata; class Mammalia; order Primates; family Hominidae; genus Homo; species Homo sapiens. The sequence continues at coordinate 236,671 of NW_021160023.1, forward strand.
AAGAAAAACAAATCTCAATTTTAATGTTGATTAGTTTCTCTGAGCCAATTGGGAAAAAAAACGTCCTTCACCTCAAAGGTTTAAGTGACACCGAAGGGTAGCCACCAGTGTCTCGGCCACTGAAGCCTCATGCACGCTCTCACTACCAGTTTGATTTGCAGCCCCATAGTTGTGTTGTACTACATATTCTTTCCTCTGGCCTTGTCCAGTGAACACGGTTCACATGGCTAACACCACTTCTTGAGATGCGAGCACCATGCAAAGCTGAAAACGGATTGGGTTTTGTGACCATTGTGCCTCCTCCTTACCTGAGAGGCCCATTTTCCCTGGTTGATTCATTAAGTGTATTGGTGCTGTCAGTCACCTTTGGACAATTCCAATGACAAGTGGCTGTTGATTCATAAAGAAAATGAAGGCTTTAGATGTGACACCCTCATTTTCTCTTGTCCTTCTCTTAGGTGAAAGATTTTATTTTTTTCAAAAGGCTACATACTGGTATCCCAGCAGGTGGAATGTAAGAAGGGGCAATTGTTGGGCTATGGTATCAGTGTGGATGGGCAATTCTTCAAGATGGAAAACCAAGTCTCACTGAGTTGCTGGAGCCATAGTCACCTTTCTCCACATCCCCCACCATGGGCTTTCACTTTTCTCCTGTGCTTGAATTTTTTTCACATACAAATTTTTATACACACACACACACGTCACACTCTGTCAGTGCATGGGCTGAATCTTGGTTCACTTCAGCCTCAAACTCTTAGGCTCCAGTGATGCTTTCACCTCAGCCTCTCAAGTAGCTGGGACTACAGGCATGCAAAGCTACGCCCAGACAATTTTTAAATATTTTTCTAGAGACTGAGCCTACTTATGTTGCCCAGACACGTCTTGAACTCCTGGGATCAAGCGATCATCCCACCTTGGCCACCCAAAGTGTTTAGATTACAGGTCTGAGCTACCACTCTCAGCAAAAATATATTTTAAAGAACAGTTACAACCAAATTATGAGTTATGATTATGCCACTGTCCTCCAGCCTGGGCACCAGAGCAAGACCTTGTATCCAAAAACTAAGCAAAACTAAACAAGAACAAAAAAAAAACCTTATAAACAAATTAAATTTTAAGATTATGTCATCTGTGTCCTTCCCTGCCCTCCAAGCTATCAATGTTAAATATAATGGTTATTGAGAAAATGGTTAGATATTATTAAGAAATTTCTATATATCTTCCAGCTGAGAATAGGTATTCTGATGTGGCCCAAATATTTTCTCACCGCTACCTTCAGGGTCTCAACTAACAAATCAGGACACCTGCAGAGGACAGTTGGCCGTTTTCAAATAGAAAGAGAAATACCCCCGTTCATGAGAGTAATCCAGTGATTTTCAAAAAGACAAGTCAGACTGACATGCAGCGCAGTCGGGCCACAATTACCCTGGAATAATCACTTCATACAGAATGGTTGAGGAGACTTTCTAAGATGAGCAAATTTGGGCAGCATAATCCTTGCTTATTTATTCCCGGCCCCCGCTGCCCGCCTGATTCCTAATGGCCACCCTACAATGTGGTCAGCAGTGGGATGTAGCGTGGTGAGAGAGGGGCTCAGGGATGGGATGAAGGTCTTTCCTGCATTATCAAAATGCAGGTTAAAAAGTTGTTAAAAAGATGTCCAAATGTTCTAATTCCTACTGTTAAATAGCTGCTAAGACGCATTATACAACAGACCCAGGTAAGGGAAGGAGCATGTGCATTTCAAGTCTCAGCTCACGTCTTAATTAGCTGTGATACTCTGGGCATGTGACCCCTACTATACGAGCCTGTTTGCCTGTCAACCCAAAACAATCCTAAGCAAAAACACCAAAGCTTGAGGCATCCTGCTACCCGACTTCAAACTATACTACAAGGCTGCAGTAACCAAAACAGCACAGTACTGATACCAAAACAGATATATAGACGAATGGAACAGAACAGAGGCCTCAGTAATAACATCACACATCTACAACCATCTTATCTCTAACAAACCTGACAAAAACAAGCAATGGAGAAAGATTTACTACTTAACAAATGGTGCTTAAAGAACTGGCTAGTCACATTCAGAAAACAGAAACTGGACCCCTTCCTTACACCTTATACAAACATTATCTCAAGATGGATTAAAGTCTTAAATATAAAACACCAAACCACAAAAACCCTAGAAGAAAACCTAGGCAATACCATTCAGGACATAGTCATGAGCAAAGACTTCAGGAATAAAATACCAAAAGCAATCACAACAAAAGCTAAAATTGACAAATGAGATCTAATTAAACTAACGAGCTTCTGCACAGCAAAAGAATCTATCATCAGAGTGACCAGGCAACCTACAGAATGACAGAAAATTTTTGCAATCTATCCATGTGTCAGAGGTCTAATATCCAGAATCTACAAGGAACTTAAATTCACACACACACACACACAAAACATCAGAAAGTGAGTAAAGAATATGAACAGACTATTCTCAAAAGAAGACATTTGGCTGGGCGTGGTTGATCAAGCCTGTAATCCCAGGACTTTCAGCCATGGAGGCAGGTGGATCATGAGGTCAGGTGTTCAAGACTAGCCTGGGCAACATGGTGAAACCATGTCTCTACTAAAAACACAAAAAATTAGCATGTTGTTTTGGCGGGTGGCTGCAATTCCAGCTTCTTGGGAGGATAAGGCAGGAGAATCACTTGAACCTGGGTGGCAGATGTTGCAGTGAGCTGAGATCCTGCCACTGCACTCCAGCCTGGGTGACAGAGCAAGACTCCATCTTAAAAATAATAATAAATAAAATAAATAAAAAGAAAAGGAAGAAGGAGAGAAGAAGAAGAAGAAGAAGAAGAAGAAGAAGAAGAAGAAGAAGAAGAAGAAGACGACGACATTTATGTGGTCAACAAACACACAAAAAGGAAAAAGAAAAAAGCTCATCATCACTGATAGTTAGAGAAATGCAAATCAAAACCACAATGGGATACCATCTCACACCATTTGGAATGGCAGTTATTAAAATGTCAGGAACAACAGATGCTGGTGAGGCTGTGGAGAAATAGAAACGCTTTTACACTGCTGGGGGGTGGTGGTGTAAATTAGTTCAACCGTTATGGAAGACAGTGTGGTGATTCCCTAAGTATCTAGAACCAGAAATACCATTTGACCCAGCAATCTCATTACTGGGTATATACCCAAAGGAATATAAATCATTCTAGCATAAAGACACATGAACTCATATATCTATTGCAGCACTGTTTACAATAACAAAGACTTGGAACCAACCTAATGCCCATCATTGATAGACTGGAAAAAGAAAATGTGGCACATATACACCATGAAATAATATTCAGCCATAAAAAGAATGAGTTCATGTCCTTTGCAGTGACGTGGATGACGCTGGAAACCATTCTCTTCAGCAAACTAACACGGGAACAGGAAGCAAAACACCATATGTTCTCACTCATATGTGGGAGTTGAACAATGAGAACACATGGACACCGGGAACAAAACATCACACACTGGGGCCTGTTAGGATGTTGAGGTCAAGGGGAGGGAGAAAATTAGGACAAATACCTAATGCATATGGGGCTTAAATCCTAGACGTCAGGTTGATAGAAGTAGCAAACCACCATGGCACATGTAAAACTATGTAACAAACCTGCACGTTCTGCACATGTATTCCAGAACTTAAAGTAAAACAAACTAACAAAAATGCACTAAGGCTGAGGGGGAGTGGGGGTAGGGGCAGGAGTCAGGCGGGGGTGGGTGAGTCCTGGAGTTTTATCCAGTCATTGACACTGATGTGGGAACCGCCCAATCAGGCGCGCAGTTGGAGAGGACAGGAGAGGAGGGCGTGGCTTCCGGCGTTTGGCGGGATCTGTGTCTCTCGCTGGCGCTGGCACAGGAACTTGGGATCTGTCTCTTCCTTCGCCTCCTGCACCTTGGGAGCCCTGGGCTACTCTTTCACGGCCCCTGTTGCCCTGTGATCTGTAGGTCCTTGGGGACGCACAGTTAAGGTGCCAGGACATCCTGGAAGCTGGGAAATGGTGAGTATACGGGGTTCGGCATCCCGAGAGGGGAGAGCAGGCTGTGAAACCGGCAGGACCGGCCTCCCCACGGTTAGCTCCGAGTCTCCCGCAGCTTGGCCCTCAGTCCCCTGTGGCTGCAAGATGGCCGCTGGGCCAGCAGCGAGGACCCCCACATCCGGCCTGGCCCATCCGGTCCTGTCCCTGGGCAGCGCCCTGCTCTGCGCCCACAGCCATGAGTATTTCCCAGATTGTTCAGGGAGGCCTGGTGGGTCATCAGGGAAAAACCGCGACTGGGTGTTTGCGTGGGAGGAGCTGCGGCCCGTGGGGTCCACAGTCTCTCTTGTTAAAAATTAACGGGAGTCTATGTTAAACGTTAACCAGTTTATCTGAACAAACAGTGATTGGTGAAATGGAAAGCACCCAGCCATGATTTCTGGTCCACCAGAGGGGCATAAAGGAAAGGCTTTTATAAGATGCATGAGAAAGCAACCCAAATTCAAAAATTGGTTCCAGTTATGTAGTCACCTTATTTGAACTATCCAGATGGAAATGTCCTGGTTACATATTCAGAGGTTAATTGCATGTTTGCCATTGGTTAAACGTGCATTTTGTTTCAGGCTAAGATAATGGTTTATAGGAAATGTATTTGAGTTAGGTTTTAGTTTTTTTTTTTTTTTTAACCTATGAACCCAGGACACTAGAGCCACTTTAGTCTAATTTTCTGCTCTTTAATTATTTTAACTCTCCAGAGGAGGACTGGTTTTCTCCTGTGTTTTTTTTACTATATGGCAAGTGGAACCTCTAATCGACCACCCTGTTTTTCAGCCTAACTCAGGCTTGTGGTAAAATTATCAGTTCCCACTTTCTTTGCTGCATTCTCAAATGCAACACAGGAGAACAGCTTTCCCTTGCAAATTCACAATGCTGTTAACTATTTGTCCTTTATTATACATTTCATTAAAGTTTTCTATTATTGGATTTCTTTCTACTTCTCCCTACAGTTCTGGCAATATTTGCTTTTTATATTTAGAAGCCTCCCTTTTGGGTGCATAAATATATATAGCTATATTCACTTGACAAATTAACCTCTATTATTATTGTATGGTAAACTCATTTCATGCTTGTGAGAGACATTGCTAGAAAGTCTATTTTGTCTAATTTAAGCATAACTACCATTGAACTCCTTTGGCTATTATTTGCATGGAATATCATTTTCTATCCTTTCACTTTTAGCCTATGCTCTTAATTCATAATTGAGTCTCTTGTAAGCAGCATATTACGAGGTTTAAAAGTTTCATTTATCCACTCTGTCTGCTTTAGTCTCTTTTGGCTGTTATAACAGAATATCACAGACTGGTAATTAATAAAGAACAGAATTTTATTTGACTCATGATTCTGGAGGCTGGGAAGGTAAAAGAACGTTACTGGTATCTGTTGAAGGTCTAGTTGCTGGATAATAACATGGCCAAAGATGTGAGGGAGAGAGAGCTTTTTTTTTTAATATATAACAGATCCATTCTTGTTAAAATTAACCCATTCCCATAATAAGAACATTAATCCATTCATGAGGGCAGAGTGCTTATAGCTTAATTAATTTTTAAAGGTTCCACCTCTTAATTCTATCACATTGGCCATTTTATCCTAAATTTTGGAGATGACATTCAGTCTACAGAAGTATCTGTTTAGTAGATAATTTAATCTTTTTATTTGTAAGGTAGTGATAGGTAAGCAGTTACTATTGTACATTTGTAGTTTTCTGTCCATTTTAAGTTTGCTTCTTTTTTTTCTGGTTCTGTCTTTCCTGTGGTATTGTTCATTTTTGTTGATACAAAGTTATGCTTTCTTGCTCAGACTGAAGTTCAGTGGCATATCACAGCTCACTGTAGCCTCAATCTCCTGGGCTCAAGCAATCCTCCCCCCTTAGCCACCCAAGTAGCTTGGACTACAGACACGTACCACAACACCCAAGGAGCTTATGATTCTTCCACCTTGGCCTCCAAAAGTGTTGGAATTATAAGCAGGAGCCACTGTATCCAATGTGTAATTTTTGTTGTTTGTGTATGCTTTAATTACTTTCTCTTTTTCTTTACTATGTTTTTTTCCCCCCAGTGGTTATCATGAGACTTATGTAAAACCTCTTGTATTTTAATAGTCTAGTTTAAGATGATAACAATTTAGAGTATTCTGAATTTCAGTATGTATTTACCATTTTTAGTGACATTTATACTTTAGTATTTTTCATATTGTTAGTTAGCATTTCGTCATATCAATGTGAAGATTTCTTCCAGACCATGGCTGGAGAAGGAAAGAAGGTGTGTTTTGCCTGATTCAGGGACTATAGAGAGAACCAAGTTCTGCAGGCCTGTCACCTAAGTCTCAGATGAGTATGAATTCTCTTGTGTTTTTCACAGATTTTTGCAGTGGCAGGACCAAGTTCAAATGAGTCATAGCCAAGTCTACAGTAAGATGTGGTAGTATTCTGTTTTGAACCGAGGACCATGATTGGCAAGCTTGCCACTTGGTCAAGTACTTACCCTCTAAAGATGTCTTCCTTGGTCTTTGCCTCCAGCTGGGTGTCACAAACTCTGAACTGGATTCTAAGGCTTTCATGAATGCACTTATGTTTCCTGTGGCAGCTGCATTATGTTGTGGGGGATGTGCATGCCGAACCTCCCATTCTGTCGTCTTGCTTATGTTACTCTCCTTTATGTTTCACTTTCTCAAATGAATGTCAAGCTGGTGATTTTTAGATTCAAAAATTCTAAAATAAATTGCTCAAATTTCCACATTATGTAAGCTATTAATAAAATGTCTTGTAGGTGCTACATATTCATTAAAATTTTTGGTTGTAATTTTAAGCTCACTGCAGGCAGAATGGAATCATTAACATTTATATTCTTTTTTTTAGTCTGTATCTAAATGATGGTATATTTTAATTCCAGATATTTACTTTATACTGCAGTAATGCTCGTCATATTTTGCAAAATTTATGTTGTTCTTTTATTTGGAAATATAAGGCTTTTTTAGCTCCTGAAATCTATATTATAGTCATATAATTTTATTATGTTTTGTGGTAAGAAGTGCAGCAACATATTGAGAACATAATAAAATTATCCTGTATTTTTAATGATTATTTATTAAATTCCTCTCATTACAGCCTGTTATTAATGATTGTAATGTATTTTCTGTATAATTTTACTTCAATTTATTAAATTCTAATGACTTAAATTGTCTGCTTTTCATGAGTGCACACAGTTGAATGCTGTAGGTATCTAAAGAAATATTTTTCGGCCGGTTGTGGTGGCTCATGCCTGTATTCCCAGCACCTTGGGAGGCCAAGGCGGGTGGATCACGAGGTCAGGAGATCGAGACAACCCTGACTAACATGGTGAAACCCCGTCTCTACTAAATATACAAAAAATTAGCCGGGCATAGTGGCAGGCGCCTGTATCCCCAGCTACTCAGGAGGCTGAGGCAGGAGAATGGCGTGAACTCAGTGGACAGAGTTTGCAGTGAGCCGAGATCGCGCCACTGCACTCCAGCCTGGGCAACAGGGCAAGACTCTGTCTCAAAAAAAAATAAAAAAAACAAAACAAAACGGTTATTTTCCATTGTAAATCTATGTTGTATTCAGGATTTTATGCATGAAAATCTCTCTTCTTATTTTCAATTCCGTGTTATTGTGTTTCTTTTCTTGGGAGTTATGTTTTCTCAGATCAGTTAAATGTATTTTTATTTTAAAGCTTGATATCATCAGTTGAAAGATAATTTTTAGCTCGGTACACTTTATCTCAATGTGATGTTTAATATATGTGTGAATTAGCTGTGTTTGTTGCTTATAGATATATCTGTATGTTTTTCACTTATGTAAGTATGACATCTTTTTCCTTGTTTTTTTTTTTTTTCAGTTTCAGATAGGCTTTTTTTTTTTTTTAAGAGAATTTTAAAACAGAGTCGAAAGAAGAGAAATCAGTTATTTGTCCTCTTGCAGGGTGGGGAGACAACTTCCTTCCCCACAGGTTTGAGGCTATGCCTAAGTGGTGAGTCTTGAGGAGATGCAGAAAGGATCCATCCCAGGCACTTGGCTGGACTTAAGTAAGCATAGCCTTTGGGCCACAAGACCTGATGGTTTGGGTACTGGTCTGGACATAAGTCCCCATCTTCCCAGAAATATCGTCTTTTGTCTGCAACAACTGGCTGGAGAAATATTTCAGAAAGATATGTGTCTGGAACACCCAAAGGCATACTTTTCCTTTCTCCTTGGCATAGGCCTTGCAGCACTGAAGAAAGACCAGGTTTGCAATGGAGCCTTCAACAGTCTTCATCCCTATGGAACTCAGGGTCTCATAGGGTGACAGGAGAGGAGACAAAGCTAACTTGGGAAGAGTCTTTGTCCTTCAGCTTCTCCCCTACTGAAACACTATATATTGGGCCCACAGTTCATCACAAAACACACATGCTCTCTTTCTTTCTCTCACACCCACATCTTGGGAACCCAAAAAACTTGATGGCAGGTAGCTCTGGGTATCCTTGGTCTGGCATTCACCCACTGGGAATCTAAGCTGTCCTAAAGCTCTTTTCAATCACTTCTCACTGTTTCCAGGCCCATGTGGGTAGGTGTTCCAGGCTTCATTCTTTCAGGCTGATCATAAAGGCACAGTGTGGGAAAATCCCCTACTGTGATGGCCATTGCTGGGAAGCAGGAAAGGCTAAGGGCCCACTGCTGCCCAAGGCTAGTGTAGACGCCCTCTGCTCCACTCATGTCCTCAAAGACTGATATCAGGTGCAGCAACTGCTGTCTGGAATGTTATCAAACCAGGACTGCACAGGCACTGCATTCTCTGTGTGGAAGACGTAAGAAGCAGGCGAGTTGTCCAGGATGAGAGTTTTCCTCAGGTCCCTCCCCAGATGGCTGAGGTCATTGACATAGCAGCCCTGGTGGAACAAACGTAACTCATGCACTAGGCAACCCCAGAACACCTCACACTGGTCCAGCACACCCATCACAATGTGTCTGGAATTGGTGGGTTCTTGTTCTCACTGACTTCAAGAATGAAGCCACAGACCCTCACGGTGAGTGTTACAGTTCTTAAAGGTGGCATGTCTGGAGTTTGTTCCTTCTGACATTCGGATGTGTTGAGAGTTTCTTCCCTCTGGTGGGCTCGTGGTCTCGCTGGCTCAGGAGTGAAGCTGCAGATGTTCGCGGTGAGTGTTACAGCTCTTAAGGTGGCACATCTGGAGTTGTTCATTCCTCCAGGTGGGTTCGTGGTCTCGCTGGCTTCAGGAGTGAAGTTGTGGACCTTCACAGTGAGTGTTACAGCTCATAAAGGCATTGTGGACCCAAAGAGTGAGCAGCAGCAAGATTTATTGCAAAGAGCAAAAGAACAAAGCTTCCACAGTGTGGAAGGGGACCCGAGTGGGTTGCCACTGCTGGCTGGGGCAGCCTACTTTTATTCCCTTATCTGGCCCCACCCACATCTTGCTGATTGTTAGAGCTGAGTGGTCTTTTTTCACAGGGCGCTGATTGGTGTGTTTACAATCCCTGAGCTAGACACAAAGGTTCTCCACATCCCCACCAGTGTAGCTAGATACAGAGTGTTGATTGGTGCATTCACAAACCCTGAGCTAGACACAGGGTGCTGGTTGGCATGTTTACAAACCTTGAGCTAGATACAGAGTGCTGATTGGTGTATTTACAATCCCTGAGCTAGACACAAAGTTTCTCCACGTCCCCACAAGACTCAGGAGCCCAGCTGGCTTCACCCAGTGGATCCCCCACAGGGTCTGCAGGTGTAGCTGCCTGCCAGTCTGGCACTGTGCACCCGCACTTCTCAGCCCTTGGGTGGTTGATGGGACTGGGTGCCGTGGAGCAGGGGGCGGCACTCATCCAGGAGGCTTGGGCACACAGGAGCCCACGGATGGTGGGGAGGCTCAGGCATGGCAGGCTGCAGGACCCGAGCCCTGCCCTGTGGGAAGGCAGCGAAGGCCCAGCGAGAAATTGAGCACAGCAGCTGCTGGCCGAGGTGTTAAGCCCCTCACTGCCTGGGGCCGGTGGGGCCAGCTGGCGGCTCCAAGTGCGGGGTCCGCCGAGCTCGCGCTGGCCTGCAAGTACTGCACACCGCCCTGGTTCCCACACGCACCTCTCCCTCCACACCTCGTCGCAAGCTGAGGGAGCCGTCTCTGACCTTGGCCAGCCCAGAAAGGGGCTCCCACAGTGCAGCGACAGGCTGAAGGGCTCCTAAAGTGCCGCCAAAGTGGGAGCCCAGGCAGAGGAGGCCCCGAGAGCAAACAAGGGTTGTCAGGACTGCCAGCACGCTGTCACCTCTCAACAGGATCTGCATACTTGTTCAGGCTGGAATGAAGAGAGCAATGAAGAAAACACATTTAAACAGTTCCTCCAGTCATCTCAGGAACTCATCCATATAAGGCCTCATGGTCCCCTCAATCTTTACAGTCACTACGCAGTCAGCATTGCTGATTGGCTTAATGGAGCTATGCACAAGGGTTTCATCCATGTCAGTGACCATACACATCTTTCCTTGATTTTTCTCTGTCACCTCTGGGAGCAGGCAGGTCCCTGGGATCTGATAAAACTGATACTGGAGACCCTGGAGCTGATCCGACTTAGCAATGGTGTTGACTCCCTCCTTATGTGTGGAGAACTCAGTGGGGGAACTTGACTTGCCAACATGCTGGGTGCAAGAACAGCAGAAAGTTACCTTCTAAGATGTGACAAACATGAGACCTCTTCGGAGAGCACTTTGGAAACCAGGCCTTGCTTGCTAAGGACCAGGGCATCTTCCCTCCATGCCTGGGTGGTGATGGAGCCTGGTTCCATCTAACAATCCTGAGGGCTCGGCTGGCTGGCTGGGAAGACAGCGGGCACGTTGGCTGGACTGGGCTGGGGGGCATGGGCTGGGGCCTGATTCAGTTCCCGAGAGTCTGACTTCCACAGCTGTTCACATACCCCTTCTCCTTTCCATCACAGGCCAGGAAGGGAGGCGGCCTGTAGGGACGGTGGACGGCCTTGGCAGCAGCTCCCCAGGGTGCCCCCAGCCCCAAATCCCCCAGCAGGAGCTTCAGGATCCTCAGTTTGGGTCTAACATAGGGAATCCACCTCATACTCATGTTTTTTCAAGTTTTATTTTAAGTTCAGTGGTCCATATGTGATAAGCTTTTTTTTCAACTTTTATTTTAAGTTTAGGGGTCCATGTGCAGGCTATGCAGGTCTCTTACATAGATAAACGTGTGCCATTGTGGTTTACTGCACAGATCATCTCATCACCTAGGTACTAAGCCCAGCATCTGCAGCTATTCTTCCTGCTGCTCTCCTTCCCCTCCCCCATGCCATGAAACAGGTGTCCAGTGTGTGTTGTTCTTCCTGATGTGTCCATGTGTTCTCATTGATCTGCTTCTGCTAACAAGTTAGAATAATAATAGGTGGTGTTTGTTTTTCTGTTCCTGCATTAGTTTGCTGGGAGTAATGGCTTCAAATTCCAACCATGTCCCTGCAAGGGACATCATCTCATTACATTTTATGGCTTCACAGTGTTCCATGGTGTATGTGTACCACATTTTCTTTATCCAGTATATCATTGATGGGCATGTAGATTGATTACATGACGTTGCTATTGTAAATATTGCTGCAATGAACATATGTATACATGTTTATTTAAAATAGATTTATATTCCTTTAGGTGTATGTCCAGTAATAATATTGCTGGGTCAAATGGTATTTCTGCTTCTAGGTCTTTGAGGAATCTCTGCACTCTCTTCCACAATGCTTGAAATAATTTACAATCCCACCAACAGTGTAAAAGTGTTCCCTTTTCTCCACAACCTCACCAGCATCTGTTTTTATTTCTTTTTTACTTTTTATTAATAGACATTGTAATTGGTGTGAGATGGTATCTCATTGTTGTTTTGATGTGTATTTATCCAGTTATCAGTGATGTTGAGCTTTCCATGTTTGTTGGGCACATGTATGTCTTCTTTTGAGATATGTCTGTTCATGTCCTTTGACCACTTTTTAATGAGGTTGTTTGTTTTTCTCTTGTAAATTTTAAGTCCCTCATAGATTCTGGGTATTACACATTTGTCAGATGAATAGGTTGCAAAATTTTTCTCCCATTCTCTAGCTTTTCTGCTCTGATGATAGCTTCTTTGGCTCTGCAGAAGCTCTTTAGTTTAATTAGACCCCATTAGTCAATTTTTGCTTTTGTTGCTATTTCTTTTGGTCTTTTTGTCATCAAATCTTTCCTCTTGCCTATATCCTGAATGGTATTATCTAGATTTTTTCTTCTAAGGTTTTTATAGTTTTGGGTTTTACATTCAAGTCTTTAATCCATCTTGAGTCAATTTTTGTCTATGGTGTTAGGAAGGGTTCCAGTCTTAATTCTCTGCACATGACTAGCCAGTTATCCTAGCACCACTTATTGAATAGGGAGACTTTTCCCTAATTGTTTTTTTTTTGTTGACTTTGTCAAATATCAGGTTGTTGAAGGTTTTTGTCTTTATTTCTATGCTCTCTATTTTGTTTCATTTGTCTATGTGTCTGTTTCTATACCAGTACCATGCTGTTTTTGTTACTGTACTCTTCTAGTACAGTTTGAAGTTAGGCAATGACACTTTCAGCTTTTTTTTTTTTTTCTTAAGGTTGGCTTGGCCATTTGGGCTCTTTTTTGGTTCCATATGGATTTTAAAAAGTTTTTTTTTTCTAATTATCTGAAGAATGTCAGTAGTTCAATGGGAACAGCATTGAATCTATAAATTACTTAGGGCAATATGCTCATATTCGTGGTACTGATTCTTTCTCTCCGTGAGCATGGAATGTTTCTCCATTTGTTTTGTGTCCACTCTGTTTCCTCTGAGTAGTTGTTTGTAGTTCTCCTGGAAGATATCCTTCACTTTCCTTCTTAGCTGTATTCCTTGGTATTTTTTTCTCTTTATAGCAAATGTGAATGAAAGTTCATTCATGATTTGTCTCCCTGCTTGCCTGTTGCTTGTGTATGGGAATGCTTGCTACTTTTGCACATTGATTTTATATCTTGAGATTTTGCTACTGCTGCTTATCACCTTAAGAAGCTTTGGGGCTGAGACGAAGAGGCTTTCTAGATATAGGGTCAGGTCATCTGTAAACAAAGATAATTTGACTTTCTCTCTTTCTATTTGAATACTCTTTATTTCTTCCTCTGGCCTGATTTTCGTGGACAAGGTTTCCCAATGGGAGTTGTAATGGGAGTGGTGAGAGAGAGCATACTTTTCTTGTGCCGGTTTTCAGGGGGAATGTTTCCAGCTTTTGCACATTCAGTATGATATTGGCTGTGGGTTTGTTGTATATGGCTCTTATTATTTTGAGGTATGTTTCTTCAGTTCCTAGTTTATTGAGAATTTTAAACGTGAAGGAATGTTGAATTTTATTGGGTGCTTTTTCTGCATCTATTGAGGTAATCATGTGGTTTTTTAATTTAGTTTTCTTTATGTGATGAGTCACATTTGTTGATTTGCATATGTTGAATCAACTTGGCATCCTGGGGACAAAGCCAATTCCATTGTGGTGGATGCACTTTTTAATGTGCTGCTGGGTTTGGTTTGCCAGTATTTTATTGAGGATGTTTGCACAGTGTTCATCAAAGACATTGGCATGATGTGTTGTTGTTGTTGTTGTTGTTGTTGTATCTATGTTAGGTTTTGGTATCAGGATGATGCTGGCCTGATAGAATGAGTTAGAGAGAACTTCTTTGTCTTCAATTTTTTTTGGATAGTTTTAGGAGAAAATGTACTATCTCCTCTTTACCTCAAGTCAAATTCAGCTTGCTTGGTAGGCTAGTTCTTACTGCCTCAATTTCAGAACACATTATTGATCTATTCAGGGTTCACTCTTGTGGAGAGTTTATTTTGCAAGGAAATTGTCCATTTCTTCTAGATTTTCTGGTTTATGAGCATAGAGGTGTTTATAGTATTCTCTGATCATTGTTCTTATTTCCATGGGATCAGTGATGATATCTCCCTTATTATTTCTATTTGTGTTTGGTTCTTTCTTTTCTTATTTATTTGCCTAACTAGTGTTCCATCTAGTTTATAAATTTTTTTTTTTCATAAAAACAGCTCCTTGGTTGGTTTTTTTTTTTTTTTTTTTTTTTTTTTTTTTTTTTTTTTTTTTTTGGAAGAGTTCTCAGTGTCTCTATCTCCTTCAGCTCTACTCTGATCTTGGCTATTTGTTATCTTCTGCTAGCTTTCAGGTTTGTTTTCACTTGGTTTTCTTGTTCTTTTAACCAAGATGTTAGGCTGTTAACTTTAGATCTTTCTAATTTTTTTTTTTCTTGTGGGAGAGTTTCACTCTGTCACCCAGGCTGGAGTACAGTGGCATAATCTCGGCTCACTGCAACCTCCACTTCTCGGTTTTAAGTCACTTCTGCTGTCTCAGCCTCCTGAGTAGCTGGGATTACAGATGTGAATCACCACACCTAGCTAATTTTTGTATTTTTTTGTAGAGATATGGTTTTGCTGTTGGCCAGGCTGGTCCTGAACACCTGGTCTCAAGTGATCTGCCTACCCCAGCCTCCCAAAGTGCTGGAATTACAGGCATGAGCCACCATGACCGGCCCTTTCTAGCTTTTTGATGTGGACATTAGTGCTATAAATTTCCCTCTTTTCTTGGTTTCTAGTGATTATTTTATTCTATCTTGGTGAGTAGTCAGGGAAATAATCTTAAATTTACAATCAACTTATAGTTTAAATCTAAATAATTAAGTGAGAAGAACCCTTTGTTATTTGAAGGGGATGTTTGAAGATTTTGTAACCGTGCCTTTTAGGTAGTCCTAAATTTCTAATTGTAGTTAAAAACATGCCATTTTCATTTCTAACATTTTAAGTATATGGTTTAGAAGTGGTAAGTATAGTTCTATTTTTTTTGCAATAGGTTTTAGATAATTTTTGTCTTACAAAAGTAAAAGTGAATACTCATTAATTCTGAAACAAGTTAGTTAGCTTGCTTTAGTTAGATAGCAAGAGAAGGGTCCCTGGAAAGTCCCTGGCCCTTGGGTCAGTGTGTCATCCCTGCATAACATAAAAGGAATCCTGGAAAAAATCAAGCTGCAGACACTAACAAGGTAACTAGCACATGGTGTTGTGCTTGGAGACCTGCCCATGGCTGCACAGACAGAAAAACCTCTGGCATATTTGGATAAAAACTTGTACAAACCTCCAGCTCACTGAGATAAGGGAACAAGACCGACCTGGCATAGAAATGCCTTTGTTTGTCCAGGCACGGTGGCTCATGCCCGTAATTCCAGCAATTTGGGAGGCAGAAGTGGGCGGATCACCTGAGGTCGGGAGTTCGAGACCAGCATGACCAACATGGAGAAAAATACAAAATTAGCCGGGTATGGTGCCTCATGCCTGTAATCCCAGCTACTTGGGAGGCTGAGGCAGGAGAATCACTTAAACCCAGGTGGCGGAGTTTGCTGTGGGCCGAGATCGCACCATTGCACTCCAGCCTGGGCAACAAGAGCAAAACTACGTCTCAAAATAAATAAATTAATAAATAATAAGAAAGTACATCTCAAAAACAAAAATGAAAGAAAGAAAGAAAAGAAAAAGAAAAAAAGAAACGCCTTTGTACTTTGTGCAGTCAGTGGGCTCCCAGGAAAGTGTTTCTTCTCCTTTTGTGGGCATAAGCACAGTGGGCTCTGGTGCATTCCGGTCGACACTCTCCTTTATTTGGACTGTAAGTCAGACCTCTGTGAATAATTACTTCAGCCCCTGATTGCTCCCGGGACAAGCTCTTGCGCCAAGCTTTCACTTTAGCTTCTGATAAGTCCTGGGCCAATCTAAATAGCATCTATGAATCATCCCTTCAGCTCCTGATTGGTCCCGGGTCAAAGTCCTGGGCCAAGCTGAGCCACACTTTTTTCAAGACAGCCTGTTAACTAGGCACATTTCCTTCTCTTCCTTTCCCAGTCCATAAAAACCTTGGGCCCCAGCCTCACAGAGGTCACCCCATTCAGAAACTATCTCTGCTGGCAAAGAGCTTTCTTCTCTTGCTTATCAAACTTTCACTCTAACCTCACCTTTGTGTTCACGCTCCTTAATCTCCCTAGAAGTAGAACAAAGAACTTTCGATGCTATCTCAGACTATGAGAGACTGTTACATCTTGGTGCACTGCTGAGACTACAACACTTGGTTTCTTTGAGTTTGACTAAATATTTTACATAGGTGTAATTATACAGTTTTCCTTTTTGACTGTCTTGTTTTACTTAACAGAATGTTTTCGAGATTTGTCCTTATTGTAGTACTTTTCAAGATTTCCTTATTTTTAAGGCTGAATGCTATCCAGTGAATATACGTGCCCTGTTTGTTGAATCTACTCATCCTTAAAGGTACATTTGCTTCCAGGTAGTATGTTTGTGAGTAATGCTACAGTGTACATAAATGTGCATATATCTATTCCATGTTCTGCTTTGCCTGTTTGGGATATTTTTCACACACTGATTTAGTACCATGTGTATTCCCTTGCTTTTGTTGTCTGATTCGTTGATGTTACATCCCCCAAATTATTGCCGAGACCAATTGTCATGAAGCTTCACCCTTCTGTATTGTGCTAGGAATTTTACAGCTATAGATTTTACATTATAGTCTTCATATTTTAAAATTGACACATGTAATTGTACAAATTTTGGGGAAACAATTATGTATATATGTTGTATAGCAATAAAAATCAGAGTACTTAGTGTAATTATTGCCTCATACATTTGTTATTTTTGTGGTGAGAACATTCAAAAGCTTCTTCTCTAGCTATTTTTTTATATCTTTATATATTAACTTTTTTTAGAGACAGGATCTTGCTCTAACACACAGATTGGAGTGCAGTGGTGCAATCCTAGCTCACTGTAACCTCAAACAATCTTCTAACCTCAGCTTCCCAATTAGCTGAGACTACAGGAACCTGCCTCCATGCCTGGATAATGTTTTAATTTTTCATAGAGACAGGGTCACACTATGTTGTCCAGGCTCATCTTGAACTTCTGACGTCAAGTGATTCTCCTACCTCATTCTCCCAAAATGTATGGATGGCAGGAATGTGCCACCACAACTGGTCTCTTTTAGCTATTTTGTAATTTGAGATAACTTTTCATTAATTATTATTATTCTGCTGTGTAACAAAAAACAAAAACTTATTTCTCCTATCTAATTGTAACACAATACTTTTGAAGCTGCCTTTTCCCATCTCCCTGCTTCAGTCTCTGGGAACCCCTGTTGTACTCTTTGCTTCTATCAACCCTTTTTTTCAGGTTCCTCAAATGAGTGAGATAATAAGATCATAAAGTATTTGTGTTTCTCTATGTGGCTTATTTTACTTAACATGGTATGCTCAAGGTTCATCCATGCTCTTTTAACTGACAGAATTTTATCCTTTCTTATAGCTGAATAGTATTTCACTGTGCATATATAGTACATTTTCCTTATCCATTTATCTGTTGCTGTACATTTGAATTGATTCCATATATAAGCTATTATAACTAGTTCTGTAACTAACATGGAAATGCAAATATCTTTTTGACACAGTGATATCCTTTCTTTTGTATATACATGCAGGAGTAAAATTGCTGGATCATGTAATACATATATTTTTAATTTCTTTCAGAAACCTCCATAGTATTTTCTATAGTGGCCATACTAATTTACAATTCCACCAACAATGTATACATTCACTCATTTTATATCCTCATTAGTACTTGTTTTATTTATTTATTTATTTTTATTATAGCCATTCTAAATGGGAGTGAGGCGGTACCTCATTGTGGTTTGGATTTTCATTTCCTTAGTGATTAGTAATGTAGAACATATTTTTATGTTCCAGTTAGCCATTTTTGTATCACTTTTTGACAAACATCTATTAAGATCTTTTGCATTTTTTTAATTAGATTATAAGTGTATTTTATTTTGAGATTTTAAAGTTTCTTATTTATTCTGAATATTAGCCTTTTGTCATATGTATAGCCTGAAAGCATTTTCTTTTATTGCCTAAGCTGTCTCTTCAATCTTTTAGTTTTTTTAATATGGAAAAGCATTTTAGTTTGACATAATGTTGTTTGCTTATTTTTGATTTTGTTGCCTATGTTTTGACATGTTATTTTAATAATCCTTTCCCCGTCGAATGTTATAAAGCATTTTTTAGTTTTTCTCTAATAGTTTCATAATTGATAGCATTACATTTAAGTCTTTAGTTTGAATTGATTTTCATATATGGCAAGGCACAGGGGTCTAGTATAATTTTTCTGAATTTAAATATTTAAATGGCCCTGCATCATTTATTGAAGAAATTAGCTTTTCCCTAAAGTGTGTTCTTGGCAATTTTGTTGACAATCAGTTGGCTTTAGGTGCATAAACTAACTTCTGGGCTTCTTGGGCACATTAGTCTATGTGTTTGTTTTTATGCCAGTACAGTGCTCTTTTGGTTACTATAGCTTTGTAGCAAGTTTTGAAGTTTGATAAAGTGATGCCTTTAGCTTTGCTTATTTTGCTCAAAGTTATTTGTCTATTCAGAGTTTTTTGTGGATCCACATAAATTTAAAATATTTTTTCTATTTCTGTGAAAAAATGTCATTGATATTTTGATAAAAATCACGTTAGTCTCTAGATCACTTTGGGTAATTAACAGTATTCTTCCAGTGTATAAACACAAGATTTTTTCATTTATTCATTTGTATTTTATATTTTTTATCCATGTTTTGTCATTTTCAGAGTAGAGATCTTGTACCTTTTAAGTTAAGTTTGTTGCTAGGTGTATTAGTCGGGCTCCCTAGAGAGATCACAAGATCTCACAATAGGTTGTCTGCAAGTTTTAGGAGCAAGGAGAGGCAGTCCACGTCCCAAAGCTGAAGAACTTGGAGTCTGGTGTTTGAGGGCTGGAAACGTCCAGCACAGGAGAAAGATGTAGACTGGGAGCTTAGGCCAGTCTCTCCTTTTTACGTTTTCCTGCCTGCTTTATATTCATTGGCAGCTTATTAGATGGCGCTCACCCAATTAAGAGTGGGCCTCCCTTTCCCAGCCCACTGACTCAAATGTTAATCTCGTTTGTCAACACCCTCACAGGCACACCCAGGATCAATGCTTTCTATCCTCCAATCCAATCAATTTGACAGCCAGTATTAACCATCACATTAAGTATTTTAATTTTTGTACCTTTTGCTTATGCAGAAGAAACGTTGGATGTAATTCAACATTCATTATGATGAAAACTCTCAACAAATTAGGAATAGAAGTTATGTTCCTCAACACAATAAAGGCCATTTATGACAAAGCAATGCTAACATTATACTGAATAAGGAAAAGCTGAAAGCTTTCTCTCTGAGATCCGGAACAAGACTAATCATCCCCACTTTCAGACCTCTTATTCAACATAGTACTGGAAGTCTTTGCCAAGGACATTATGCAAGAGGTAGAAATAAACTCATACTAATAGGAAAGGACGAAGTCAAATGGTCTCTGATTGTGGACAAAATAATCTTATATGTGAAAAACTCTAAACACTACACCAAAACCTAATAGAACTACTAAACAAATTCTGTAACATTGCAGAAAATCAACAGAGTAGCAGCTTTCTGTATGCTGATAGCAAAATATCTGAAAAATAAAGTTTAAAATTCCATTTTAATAACTAACAAAAATTAGTTATTTTGAGTTTATTTCTTTATATGAGGTGGAGTCTTTCTCTGTCACCAGGCTGAAGCACAGTGGTGTGATCTCCGCTCACTGAAACTCTTGCCTCCCGGGTTCCAGAGATTCTCCTGCCTCAGCCTCCTGAGTGGCTGGAACTATAGGCGTGTGCCACCACCGCCAACTAATTTTTGTTTGTATTTTTAGTAGAGACGTGGTTTCCCCATGTTGGCTAGGATGGTCTTGATCTCCTGACCTTGTGATTCACTTGCCTCAGCCTCCCAAAGTGCTGGGATTACAGGTGTGAGCCACCACACCCGGCCTTGAGTTTATGTTTTTATTGGTGCAAGGTAAGGTGTAACTTTGTTATTTTTTCCTTGTAAATTTTTATTATTCTCAATACTGTTTGTTGAAGAGACTGTTCTTTCCTTATTGTGAATTCTTGGAACAGTTTTTAAAAATAAGTTTACTAAACCCATGAGGTCTTATGTCCGAACACTCTCATCTGTTTCATCATTCATTTGTCTTTCTGTCAGTACCAAACAGTTTTGATTACTATACCTTTATAGTATGTTTTGAAATTAGAAAGTATGATGCCTCTATCTTTATATTTTTTTCCCAATATTATTTGGCTGTTTGCAATCACTTGAAATTCCATAAAAATTATAGAATATTTTAAAACTTCTGCAAAAAGTTTCATTGGTATTTTGATAGAAAGTATATTGAATCAACTAGGGGTGGTGGCTCATGCCTGTAATCCCAGCACTTTGGGAGGCTGAGGAAGGTGGATCACCTGAGGTCAGGAGTTCGAGACCAGCCATGGAGAAACCCCATCTCTACTAAAAATACAAAATTAGCCAGGTTTGGTGGCACTTGCCTGTAATCCCAGCTACTCAGGAGGCTGAGGCAGGAGAATGGCTTGAACCCAGGAGGTGGAGGTTGCAGTGAACTGAGATCACACCATTGCACTCCACCCTGGGCAACAAGAGCAAAAACCCATCTCAAGATAAAAAGAAAGAAAAGAAAAGAAAGAACATTGAATCAGTAAACCACTTTCAGTAGTAGTGACATGTTAACAATATTAAGTCTATAACCTCTTGAACAAGAGTGTGTTTGAGAATTTGTTGTTTAATTTTTACTTATTGTTTGACATGCTAGTGTTTTTAACTTCTTGTTTTATTGTATCATAGTTAGCAATAATTTTGTAATTCCATCTGCTTAAATTTGCTAAGATTCATTTTTTAACTTAACAGGTGGTCTATCTGGAATATTGTGGCATGTGTGATTAAAAGTATTGCAGATTCTACTGTTGAGTGGAGAAATATAAATGTGACTGTTAGGTCTAATTGTCCTATCGTGTTGTTGAAATCCTCTGTTTACTTATCCATCTTATGTTTGTTTTTTAATTTACATTACTAAAAGTCAGATATAAAAGTCATTTACTGTTATCAGGTGCTGGCTACTTCATGTTTCAATTCTGTAAAATGTTGCTTCATATGTTTGGGAACTGTGATGTAAGGCACATGCGTTACTGTTGTTGCTTTTATTGTTGTATGTTGTTTTAATGTTTTTGCTTTTATTGTTGTATGTTGCTTTATTGTTGTTGCTTTTATTGTTGTTGTTTTTATTGTCCTTTTCCTCTTGTCTCTTGAGGAAGTTTTTGAAATAATATGTATTTTGTCTACCATGACAGTATTTGATTTTGCATTTAATATTTTTTATTATTCTTTCATGTACAGGTTATATGTGTTCCAGATCATAATTTGGTTATTTGTAGGAAGCAGAGAGTTGAATCTTGTTTCATGAATTTATTTAGTGAAAGTATGTTTTTGATTGACATAATTGATTTATATAAAAAAATTACTAAAAGGGAATGATTTTGTATTGCATTTTGTTTCTTTTTTGTTTTAGGTCCTGCAGCATTTTTTTTTTTTTTTGAGACGGAGTCTCTCTCTGTCGCCCAGGTTGGAGTGCAGTGGTGAGATCTTGGCTCAAAGTAAGCTCCGCCTCCCGGGTTCATGCCATTCTCCTGTCTCAGATTCCCCAGCAGCTGGGATTGCCGGAGCCTGCCACCACGCCCGGCTATTTTTTTTTTTTTTTTTTTTTTTTTTGGTAGAGACGTGGTTTCACCGTGTTAGCCAGGATGGGCTCGATCTCCTGACCTCGTTGATCCACCCACCTCGGCCTCCCAAATTGCTAGGATTACAAGCGTGAGCCACCGCCCCTGGCCGGTCCTGTAGCTATTTCGTTCCTGTTTTTCTCTCTTGTTCTCTTTCTTAGTGTACTATTGATTTTTGTAGTGACATGTTTTAATTCTTTTCTCACTACTCTCTGTGTGTGTATGTCTTTCTGTGTGTGTACTATAGGTATTTCCTTTTTTTTTTTGACAGGGTCTTGCTCTGTCACCCAGGCTGGAGTGCAGTGGCACAATCTCTGCTTACTCAAGCTCTGCCTCTCAGGCTCAACTCAAACAATCCTCCCACCACAGCCTTCTGAGTACCTGGGACCACAGATGTGCACCACTACTCCTGGCTAACAGTTGTTATTTTGCATAGAGACAGGGTTTTTCCATGTTACCCAGACTAGTCTCAAAATCCTAAGAACTGTAGGTATTTTCTTTGTTGTTACTATAGATATTACCAAGAATAACTACTATTACATATAAAACCCTGCCTCTTTATGGCTCCCTATGTGTTTTATTGATGTCACAAATTATATCATTTTGTGTTGTGAATCTGTTGGCACAGATTTATAGTCATTTTTAAGTCTTTGTTGTCTCAAATATATAACAGAATTAAAGTATTCTGTGCATCTTCATTATAATTACAAAGAATATTATGATTGTGTACATAATTTTCTCTATTAGAAAATGTCATATTTTACATAATTTTGTGTTGCTCTCATCATTATTTCATTTTTTAATGTGAATGACTATTTAGCATTTTTTAAGACAGGCCTAGTGGGTATAAATTTATACAGTTTTTGTTGATCTTGAATATTCTTTATTTTTATTTTTTAATTCATTTGAAATGATAGTTTTGGCAGACATAGTGTTCTTGGCTGGTACTTGCCATTTTTTCAGCACTTTGAGTATGTCATCCTACAACCTCTTACCTGTAAGTTTTTTTGCTGAGACATCTGCTGGTCATCCTGCAGGGGTAAACTTGTACATGCTAAGTCACTTTTTTCTTGCTGACTTCAAGATTCTCGGTGTTTTAACTTTTGAATCTCTGATTATAATGTGTCTTGTCATGGGTCTCCCTGTGTTGTTACTAGTTACAGTTGGTAAAGTTTCATTAAATTTTAGGTCATTTTCTCCCTCAAATTCTGAGTTCTCTGTCACTGTTTGTTTCTTGAAATAATTTTGCTGCTCTCTTTTCTCTTTTTATTTTAGAATTCCCATTATGAGTATATTGGCCATCTTAATGGTATCCTATAATTCCCTTAGGCTCTCTTAATTTTTTAAATTATTTTTAGCCTCCTCACCCTATAATTTCAAATGACTTCTTATGAGGCTTGCTGTATTTTTTCCTGCTAGATCAAACCTGTTGTTGGACTTTCTAGTGAATCTCTAAACTCAGGTATTTTACTTTTCAGCTCTACACTTTGTTTCTATTTTGCACTTTTAATCACTTCTTTGATAATCTCATTATCTTCATGCATTGTTTTCTTTTTCTGTTTAGTTTTCTATATTCTTCTTTAGCTGACTGAGCATCTTTAAGCTAGGTGTTTTAGCCAGGCACAGTGACACGTGCATGTGACTCCAGCTACTTTGAAAGCTAAGGCAAGAGGGCTACTGTATTAATCCATTATCATGCTGATAATAAGGACATAAACAAGACTACGTAATTTATCATGAAAAAAGTTTTAATGGCCTCTCAGTTTCACATGGTTAGGGAGGTCTCACCATTATTGGAACAAGCAAGAGACTGTTCAGGGGAACCTCCACTTATAAAACCATCAGATCACATGAGACTTATTTGTTATCATGAGAACAGCATGGGAAATTCCCACCCCCATGATTCAATTACCTCCCACAGGGTCCCTCCCAGGACATGTGGGGATTATTACAATTTAAGATGAGATTTGATTGGGGACAGAGAGCCAAACCCTGTCAATTACTTAAATCCAGGAGTTTGACACTACCCCGGGCAATATTGTGACAAGCTATTGGTAAAAAATATTTTCCCAGATTACTCAGGCATTGTGGAATGTTCCTGTAGTCTCAGGAAGTTGGAGGCTGACGTAAGATTATTCCTTGAGTTCCCCAGGAACTTGAGGCTGCATTGAGCTATAATCATGGTATTGTATTCCTGTCTGGGTGAGAGAGTAAGACCTCTTTTTAGAATTTCAAATTTATTTTAGATTTAGGAGGTACCTACACAGGTTTTTTACATGGGTATTTTGTATAATGCTGAGGTTTGAAGTATGAGTAATTCCATCAATCAGGTAGTGAGCATAGTACTAAGTAGACAGTTTTTCAGTTCTTGGTCCCTCCCTCTCTCCACCCTCTAAGAGTTGTCTATTATTTTTGTTTTTCTGTCCATGTGTACCCAGCGTTAATTTCCATTTATAAGTGAGAATATGCAGTATTTTCATTTTCCATTTCTGCATTAATTTGCTTTGTATAATGGCCTTTAGTTGTGTTAACGTTGCTGCAAAGGAGGTTTTTTTTGTTTGTTTTTGCTAAGTAGTATTGCTGTACATGTGACACTTTTTAAATTCAATTTACCATCAATAGGCTGGACATGGTGGCTGATGCCTGTAATCCCAGTGCTGTGGGAGGCCAAGGCGGGTGGATCATGAGGTCAGGAGATCGAGACCATCCTGGACAACGTAATGAAACCCCGTATGTACTGGAAATACAAAAGTTAGCCAGGCTTGGTGGCATGCGCCTATAGTCCCAGCTACTCGGGTGGCTGAGGAAGGAGAATTGCTTGAACCTGGGAGGTGGAGATTGTAGTGAGCTGAGATCGTGCCACTGCACTCCAGCCTGGGCAACAGAGTGAGACGTCATCTCAAAAAAATAAAAAATTACCATGAATAGGCACGTAGGTTGATTCAGGTCCTTCCTCTTATGAATAGTGTAGTGATGAACCAACAAGTGCATGTGCTATTTTGGTAGAATAGTTTATTCTCTTTTGGGTATATACCCAGCGGTGAAATTGCTGGGTTGAATCACAGTTTAACTCTCAGTTATTTGGAAAATCTCCAAGCTGCTCTCCACAGTGGCTGAACTAATTTACATTCCTATTAACAGTGTATAAGTGGTTTTTTCCCTCTAAAACCCCATCAACATCTATTATCATTTTACTTTTTAACAAAAACCATTCTAACTGGTGTACAATGGTGTCTTATTGTGGTTTTTATTTACATTTCCTTGATGGTTAGTGATGATAAGCTTTTTTCATGTTATTTGGCCACTTGTATGTGTTCTTTTGAAGAGTGTCTGTTATTGCCCACTTTTTCATGGGGTAATTTTTTCCTTGTGAATTCTTTAAGTTTCTTATAGATTCTGAGTATTAGATTTTGTCAGGTTCATAGGTTATGAATATTTTTGCCATTCTGCTAGCTTTGGGGTAAGTTAGTTTTTATTTTTCTAGTTTCTCTAAGTGTGATGTTAAATTGTTAGTTTGAGATCATTCTAACTTCTTGATGCAGGTATTTAGCACTCTCAACTTTCCTCTTAACAGAGCTCTTCCTACAACCCAGACATTTTGTTATATTGTGTCTCTTCTATTTCAAAATCTTTTTAATTTTCTGCCTTAATTTTTTTGTTTATCCAAAATTCATTCAGGAGCAAGTTGTTTAATTTCAATATCATTCTGTGATTTTGTGAGATTTTCTTGGTATTGATTTTTATCTTTGTTCCATTGTGGCCTGTCATATTCTGTGAGCAGATGAGAAGAATTTACTTTCTTTAGATGATGTGTTGCATATACTATAAATGTCTATTAGTTTCAATTGATCAAGTGTCGAATCAAACTCCAGAATTTCTTTGTTAAGTTTCTGCCTAGATAATCTGTCAAACACTTAGTGGGGAGTTGCATTCCCCTACTATTATTGTGTGTCTACTTGAGTCTTATTGTAGGTCTAGCAGTAATTGTTGTATAACTCTATGTTCCCCAAAGTTGGGTGCATCTACATTTACGATAGTTAAGTCTTCTTGTTGAATTGAACCCTTTATCGTTACGCAATACCTTTCTTTGTTTTATTTTACTATTAATGATTTAAAGCTATTTTTTCTTAAAAGAGAAACAATTCCAGGTATGGTAGCTTGTGCCAGCACTTTCAGACTGAAGCAGTCGGATTGCCTGAGACCAGGAGTTTGAGACCAGCCGAGGCAACACAGCAACATACTGTTTGTACAAATTTTTTTAAAGAAACTATACAGGAGGGGTAATGTGCACAACTGTGGTCATATTTACTCAGGAGACATAGGTGGCATGACTGCTTGACTTCCGAAATTTGAGGTTACAGTGAGCTGTGATTCCACCAGTGTACTCTGTCCCAGGAGATAAAGTAAGATCCTCTGCATAAAATGAAAAAGTAAAGAAAAATAAAAAGATTTTAAGTTAAAAAAAAATTCCTAGATCTCCACTTCTTTAGGTTCACTTGAATATATATTTTTCTCCTTTGATTGGGTTATATTTCCTGGTAGCTTTTACTTACTGTAGTTTTGTTAAGGTTTTGATCAATTAAGAAACCACTACCTATTTTATCCTTTATGAAAGAGCTTTATACATGGGAAAATTGACAACATTCAGCCACAGTAGTCATACTGGGAGCTTCTCCAATCTGTTGTCAAAATGTGTCTTCTTTGGACTACTGTATGTATTTTCTTGTTAATAAGGTTTACCTCTGTTTCCTCTTAGGAGCCTTTAGTCTCTTCCCTTCGTCACTGTTGTAGGCACTACAGTCTCTGTTGTTGTAAGAAGCATTTATCTTTATTCTCAGTTGACCCAAGCTGTCATTTAAACTCAGTCTCTATTCTCATCAACACTAAATGTTAAAGGAAGCAATTTCCAGTCTTTAGATAACCCCGGTATAACTCAGTAAGTCAGAAGTTTGCATACGCATTTCACTCTTTTTTCTTTCCCAAAGGAGAATCATGGAATGGACAGATTTTTATCTAACTGCGCTGTTCTGTAGTGCACAAATGTGACCAAATTTTCTTCTAAATGTGGTTATGGTTGGCTTTTTTCTCATGTAGGGTGCTACAAACTCAACTGGCTTTGTTCACCCAATTGTAGTTAAGTTCACATGTCAATGGAGAGAAACAGGATCTCAGGTTCTGCTTCAACTGTCGTTGTCTTCTCAGCTGACCTCATTTTGTACATTAGATTTATAAAATATATTTACTTTAATCTCATCACCGAATTTTTAAAAAAATTATTATTTTTCAGCTCTTGTAGCAATATATCCAATCAAGACCCAGAGAAAACAGTACATAGAAGCTTCTTTTCAAAAAGTAATATTGGGAAGATATGGGAGCTCTGGCCTTGAACTTTTACACTTAGGAGAGTGGGAAATTGAAGGATAAGTGTAAACAGCACAAAGTATGCTATGATGAATATACCAGATACACAGCAATTACCTACAGCAAAAATGTCACTGCTAGAAGAGCTCAAAACCATAAAGTATTTTGGAAAAAGCATAATTAATGTTGATTCTTTTTTCTGAACTATATATTTATATAATTACATACCAATAACAATTTTTGAAACATATCATGTTTTTGAAACAAAATTTAGAAAATCGCAATAGTGGCCTAGGCCAGGAATATTTCTTCTAATGCTATCCCTCCCATAGTCCCCCACTTCCCGACAGGCTCCAGTGTGTGATGTTCCCCTTCCTGTGTCCGTGTGTTCTCTTTGTTTAACTCCCTATTATGAGTGAGAACATGCGATGTTAGCTTTTCTAATCTTGTGTTAGTTTGCTGAGAATGGTGGTTTCCAGCTTCATCCATGTCCCTGCAAAGGACATGAACTCATCCTTTTTATGACTGCATCGTATTCCATGATGTGGACATGCCAAGTTTTCTTTATTCAGTCTATCATTGATGGTCATTTGGTTTGTTTCAAAGTTTTTGCTCTTGTGAACAGTGCCGTAATAAACATACGTATGCATGTATCTTTATAATAGAATAATTTATAATCCTTTGGGTATATACCCAGTAATGTGATTGCTGGGTCAAATGGTATTTCTCATTGTGGATCCTTGAGGAATCACCACACTGTCTTCCACACTGGTTGAACTAATTTACTCTCTCACCAACAGTGTATAAGTCTTCCTATTTTTCCACATCCTTTGTTGTTTCCTGATTTTTTTAATGATCACCATTCTAACAGGTGTGGGATGGTTTCTCATTGTGTTTTTGATTTGCGTGTGTCTAATAACCAGTGATGATGTCCTTTTCTTCATTTGTTTATTGGCTGCATAAATGTCTCCTTTTGAGAAGTGTCTGTTCAAATCCTTTGCCCATTTTTGATGTTGTTGTTTCTTTTTTTCTTGTAAATTTGTTTAAGTTCTTTGTAGATTCTACATATCAGCCCATTGTCAGATGGATAGATTGCAGAAATTTTCTCCCATTCTTTAGGTTGCCTGTTCACTCTGATATAGTTTTTTTTGTTGTGCAGAAGCTCTTTAGTTTAATTATATCTCGTTTGTCAATTTTGGCTTTTGTTGCCATTGTTTTTGGTGTTGTAGTCATGAAGTCTTTGCCCATGCCTATGTCCTGAATGGTACTGCCTTGGTTTTCTTCTGGGGTTTTTATGGTTTTAAGTCTTATGTTTAAGTCTTTAATCCATCTTCAGTTATGTTTTGTATAACGAGTAAGGAAGAAGTCCAGTTTCAGTTTTTTGCATATGGCTAGCTAGTTTTCCAACAGCATTTATTAAATAGGGAATCCTTTCCCCATTACTTGTTTTTGTCAGGTTCATCAAAGATCAGATGATTCTAGATGTTGAGTGTTATTTCTGAGGCCTCTGTTCTGTTCCATTTGTCAATATATCTGTTTTGGTACGAGTACCATCCTGTCTTGGTTACTGTGGCCTTTTAGTATAGTTTGAAGACAGCTAGCATGATGCCTCCACCTTTGTTATTTTTGCTTAGTATTGTCTTGTCTATGCAAGACCTTTTTTGATTCCATATGAAATTTGAAGTAGTTTTTTTTCTAATTCTGTGAAGAAAGTCAATGGGAGCTTGATGGGGATAGCAATGAATTTATAAATTACTTTGGGCAATATGGCCATTTTCATAATATTGATTCTTCCTATCCATGAGCATGGATTGTTTTCGTTTGTTTGTGTCCTCTTTCATTTCCTTGAGCAGTGGTTTGTAGTTCTCCTTGAAGTGGTCCTTTATATCATTTTTAAGTTGGATTCCTAGGTATTTTATTCCCTTTGTAGCAATTGTGAATGAGAGTTAACACATGATTTGGCTCTCTGTTTGCCTATTATTGCGTATAGGAATGCTTGTGATTTTTGAACATTGATTTTGTATCCTGAGACTTTGCTGAAGTTGCTTATCAGTTTAAGGAAATTTTGGGCTGAGATGGTAGGATTTTCTAGATATACAATCATGTCATCTGCAAACAAAGACAATTTGACTTCTTCTCTTCCTATCTGAATACGCTTTATTTCTTTCTTTCTTTGGCTGATTGCCAGAACTTCCAATACTATAATGAATAGGAGTGGGGAGAAAGGGTGTTCTTGTCTTGTGCAGGTTTTCAAAGGGAATGCTTCCAGTTTTTGCCCATTCAGTATGATATTAGCTGTGCATTTGTCATAAATAACTCTTATTATGTTGAGATAGGTTCCATCAATACATAATTCATTGAGAGTTTTTACCATGAAGAGGTGTGGAATTTTATTGAAGGTCTTTTTTGCATCTATTGAGATAATCATGTGGTTTTTGTCATTAGTTCTGTTTATGTGATGGATTTTATTTATTGATTTGCATATGTTGAACCAGCTTTGTATCCCAGGGATTAAGCTGACTAGATCGTGGTGGATAAGCTTTTTGATGTGCTGCTGGATTCGGTTTGCCAGTATTTTATTGAGGATTTTCGCATCGATATTCATCAGGGATATGGGCCTGAAATTTTCTTTTTCTGGTGTGTCTTTGCCAGGTTTTGGTTTCAGGATGATGCTGGCCACATAAAATGAATTAGGGAGGAGTACCTCTTTTTCTATTGTTTGAAATAATTTCAGAAGGAATGGTACCAGCTCCTCTTTGTACCTTTGGTAGAATTCGGCTGTGAATCCGTCTGGTCCTGGACTTCATTTTGTTGGTAGGCTACTAATTACTGCCTCAATTTTAGAACTTGTTATTGGCCTATTCAAGGATTCGACTTCCTACTGGTTTGCACTTGGGAGGGTATATGTGTCCAGGAATTTATCCATTTTATCTAGATTTTCTAGTTAATTTGCAAAGAGGTATTTATAATATTCTGTAATGATACTTTTTATTTCTGTGGGATCAATGGTTATATCCCCTTTATCATTTCCTATTGCATGTATTTGATTCTTCTCTTCTTCCTTATTAGTCTGGCTAGAAGTTTATTTATTTTCTTGATCTTTTAAAAAAACCAGCTCCTGGATTCATTGATTTTTTGGACGGGCTTTTTGTGTCTCTATCTCCTTCAGTTCTGCTCTGATCTTAAATCTTGTCTTCTGCTAGTTTTTGAATTTGTTTGCTCTTGCTTCCTTAGTTTTTTTAATTGTGATGTTACGGTGTCGATTTTAGACATTTTTCTGCTTTCTCTTGTGGGGATTTAGTGCTGTAAATTTCCCTTTCAGACTACTTTAGCTGTGTCGTATTTTACTTTTTAAGCCCTCAATCTTTCTTTTTCATCATGATAGTCTTTACTGTTTTATGTTTATGTAATGTAAAATTGACTACACAATTTTTACAAAGATTTTATGAAAATATTTTATTGAGAATGTACAAACCTGTCAGTCAATTAGAGGAGAAGTTACACTGTCATAATAAATAGCCACAAAGCAAAACCCCAAAAGACATCTAAATCAGAATAAAACAAAACATTTTAACAAAAACAAAAAGAACAAACTGGCAACAAATATGTGAAGTTTATATTACAAAGATGCTCACTTATCCACTCTAAAGAGAGCTTTTAGAATTTGATTTAAAATACGGCAAAGACATTATCCCACACTTCACAGAAAAAATAAATTTAAGCAGCTGTTAATACATGAATGTATTATCAAGCTCAGATATAATCAAAATTAAATATTTGATAAGAGATTCTACAGTTTGGGAGAAATAGAAGTGTTTTTTTCTTTTCCCCAGGCCCACAAGTCTAGTTTCTTGCTCTTCTTCACTATAATGGGGTTTGTCATCAGCTCCCCGAAATATGGGAAGCACAGAGCAGGTGGTGGCTGAAGGTGGGGTATCCTGTGAAACCATATTTAAGATCAGAGCCCTTGGTCCATTGTGTTGTAATCAGCTGGCTCAGGAAAGAACACCTGGCTGTCCAGAGCTCTACACCTACTGCACTGGGTGTGAAAGGAGGCCTGAGAACCCATGGGTCCCAAACCCACCCCACTCCAAATTATCATCCAGTATTGAGAACTCTGACACCAAATTCTCACAGAGCATATGTTTATGCAGTTTTACATTTAATTTCTCATTACATTACAATTGGGAAACTGAGGCCCCAGAAGAGGCAGAGACTGGTCCAGATCTCAGGAGGTGGGCAGGCTCCAGAGCATTAGAGAGGGCTCCAGCTTCCTAGGCCTTGGCACCGTCCCACTTATCAGGTTTGTTTTCGAAATTAGAGTCTGTAGCTACACATTCAGGAGCACAGAAAATGAGCAGATTCAGGGTTCTGTTCACATGGGGTCCTCTCCATGTCAGTTTCAAGATAACAGGACTGGGGTTCTGCATCCAGCTCTGAGGGCAACTGGAAGTAAAATGAGCTATGCTCCACCTCAGCCTAATGTAGACAGTGCCTACAGGAAAGCCTGTTTTCTTCCTCATAAATAGGGGTGCCTGAAGTGGGTGACCTTGATGATTTCACATACTCATAAGTGTCTGCCAGCCTGGATTCTTGCTCTGAGACTGCAAAAATGCACCCACTCTGCAGATCCTTCAAATCAGAGGGAGGCATGGCCACTTGAGAGGCATCTTGGGTAGATGAAGATGAGACAGAGTTAAATGTGCCAGAGCACTGGACTCTGAGGCTGAGGTCCACGGAAAATCTCAGCTACTGTTGCGTTCTTAAGGTCCTCATTTGAAAGTGGTAGAAAATAATTTCACTGGATAAGGGGAGGATACCTCATGAGTAAATAGCACAACCAAAAATGTGGAGGCAAAGAGAGGGCAAAACGGGATTCCTAGGTCACTCATTATACTTGGGGCCTTCAGATCCTGCTACTTTATCCCCTAGGACCTTGAAGAACCAGTGTCTTGAGGACAGAAAAATCAAGGTATCAGATTTGTTCAGTAGTGCTCCTGCTTGGGGCTGTAGGGTTAGTGATGGCCAGGAGGTGGTTACAGCCTACTGTGTTTCTGGTGCCCACTGAGCTTTGCTGGAGCAGCTGGAACAAGTAACAGTCACACACCTCATGTTGTTATCAGTGATGTCCACATTATCATGTGGTCAAAAGGGGAAGGGATATTAGGGATCCCCCATATAATCACTTAGCCAGTCTTTTTTCCCTTGCGCTCACCATTTGCCAGCGACCCTGGTGGGTCCAACATGTGGTACAGAAAATTATTACTTCATGTCTGCACCCCCCAACCCAGGACCAAACAGTCTGAGGACCGCTGGACAAAAGCACTAAAGCAAGTATATGTGAAAGAAAAGAGCAAGGACTATAATATAAAGTAGATTATTGAGAAGAAAACCTGGAAAATTATTGCATGGGAGGACCTCAGGCCTCACTGAGGTGACTTTTAATCCATGAGGATGACAGCAGGGAGGCATCTGCACAAGCATGTGTCAGGGAGAAGCCACCCTTAGTGAAAAGACTCATAGGTGTGAGTTTGGCAGAGGTAAAAAGGGACTAGTTTGGCTGCAGACAGCCTGAGAAAGAGATAAGCAGAGGGATGGAGAATCCTAGGGCCTGGGAGATGAGGTTAGATATCTGCTCCTTTCTGACAACATTGCCCTAAAAGTCAGCACTTTTCAACAACATATAATATCTCATAATTTGTGTGGACCAGAATCTGGACACAGTTCAGCTGGCTACCTCTGCCTTCAGGTCTTTTATGAGACTGAGGGCTGTGGTCTTAACTGAAGCTGGACTGGGAAAGCATGAGCCTTTAAGCTGACTCATGTGAAAATTGACAGGGTTTAGTGTGGACAGAGAGCCTGACTTTCCTTCTCTCTACTCGTCTGAGCACCGCCTCACCCTTTGTTATGTGGGTCTCTACATGGAGCATCTCATAGCATTGGAGCTTGCTTCCTGTGTTTGAGGAATACAATAGACAGAATTAGACAAAAAGGTTTACACAAAAAGAGACAGAAAGATCGAGGGCGCAAACGAGAAAAACCCAGTAGGAGAAAAATTAGAGCTTTAAAAACATCTTGACAGGGTGCGGTGGCTCACACCTGTAATCCCAGCACTTTGGGATGCTGAGACGTGTGGATCGCCTGAGGTCAAGGGTTTGAAACCAACCTGGACAACATGGTGAAACCACCGTCTCTTCTAAAAATACAAAATGAGCCAGATGTGGTGGCGCATGCCTGTAATCCCAGCTACTTGGGAGACTGAGGCAGGAGAATCAATTGAACCTGGGAGGCAAAGGTTCCAATAAGCCGAGATCACACCACTGCACTCCAGCCTGGGATACAAGAGTGAAACTGTGTCTCAAAAAAAAAAAAAAAAAAAGAAAGAAAGAAAGAAAGAAAAAAAACTTGAGAGTTACTATAATTTTTCTTCTATATTTGTGTTAAAATTGTAACCCCGGGCGTAATGCTATAAGGAGGTAGAATGTAATTAACCCCTTAGGGTGGGACCCTCATAATACAGATTACTGGCTTTATACAAGAAACCGCAGAGGGCTCTCATCCTCCTGCAAAATGAGGGTAAAACCTGAAGTGTGCAGGCTGAAATTCAGAAGCCAGTCATCACCAGATCTCAACCATGCTGACACCCTGATCTCAAATTTGAACCTCTGGAGGTATGAGAAATTAAGTCCTGTTGTCTATATGCTGCCTATCTATGGTTCTTTGGCATAGCAGCCTGAACTAATACAAAAGTGATATCCTTTTCTGTGTTTCATTGGAGAGAAGCTGAATTTGTACCCCCTATACTGTTAAAAAAAAGACTTAAAAAATGGATCTTCAGAATGAAAGATAGGAAACGGCTTGTTGAAACACTAAAATTTTAACTGCTATAAGTTTTTTAAACATTGGCTGAAATTGTTGGAACCAATATGGCCAACTGAAGTCCATGAAGCATCAGTTTGCAGACTTTGGAGCCCAAATTTCCATTGTGTGCTTCATACTAACTCTCCCTGAATTTGTATGTGACCTGTGAGGAAACAAGAAGAGATGACTGTATATGTCTCATGACTTTCCATATTCCTACTTTCCTTCCAGCAATCCCCTACAGAACCCACCTATTAGGCCTTTTCTAATCACTGCCTTAAAGCCAGTATGACAAAACAAATTTGATTTGAACTCCTATCTCCTTGTTAGCCAACATACAAGATGATATTTTCCTCAAAACCGAAGGGCCATAGTACTGGCATCAGGAAGTATTCCATTTTATTCAATAAAAAACTGAGTCACTCAATACCTAGTACTGGGAGACTTTGTGAAGACTTCCTCTGTCATAGACGTGATAAGGCACATGGATATGATTCTAAATATAAAGAGAAAGCACTAGAAAGTTGAATTCCTGTATTAGATCATTCTCATACTGCAATGATGGAGTACCTGAGACTGGGTAACTTATAAAGTAAAGAAGTTTAATTGACTCACATTTCCACATAATTGTGGGGGCACCTCAGAAACCTTCCAATTACAGTGGCTGACAAGTGAAGTGAGTGAGAGCATGGGATGTACCAGATGCTTATGAAACTATCAGATCTCGTGAGAACTCACTATCACAAGAACAGCATGAGGAGAACCCGTCCCCATAATCCAATCATCTCCCCTCAGGTTTTCCCTTAACACCTAGGGGTTATAATACACAATGAGTTTTGGGTGGGGACGCACAGCTAAACTATATGAATGCCAGAGGACAGTATCTACATTTAATTTCAACTTCATACTGGAGCAGAATGAAAATGAGGCCCAGTGGAGAAGTGATATTTCCAAGATCACCCTGGCAGACACCAGGCCTGTTTGAGTTGTGGCCCATGCTACCTCCCACCTATTCTCCTAATGCTTCCATCTCTAAGTGTGTGCATTATCTACAGGTGACACTACATCATTATTTTTATGTCTTATCTTTTTTTTTTTTTTTTTTTTTTTTTTTTTTGAGACGGAGTCTCGCTCTGTCGCCCAGGCCGGACTCCGGACTGCAGTGGCGCAATCTCGGCTCACGGCAAGCTCCGCTTCCCGGGTTCACGCCATTCTCCTGCCTCAGCCTCCCGAGTAGCTGGGACTACAGGCGCCCGCCACCGCGCCCGGCTAATTTTTTGTATTTTTAGTAGAGACGGGGTTTCACCTTGTTAGCCAGGATGGTCTCGATCTCCTGACCTCATGATCCACCCGCCTCGGCCTCCCAAAGTGCTGGGATTACAGGCGTGAGCCACCGCGCCTGGCCACTGTCTTATCTTATATACACCTAATACATTCCCTAGGAAGTAGATGTTAGCATCATCACCACTGTGCATGTTAGGAGGCTGGGGAAGCCTTGAATACAGTGACTTTTACTGGGTCCCAGAGATGGTAAGAAAAACAAAGTTATGGTCCAGCTGTCTCTTCTATCCTGGAACCCAGGTTGCATTTAGGTCTTTCCAGGGAATTAAGGGGAAGTTGTGTTTGCATAATTGTGTACAAATAAAGAGTTGACATGGAAGAGGAGACTGAGCAATCAGTAGCATAGTGGGGCCTTTCGGTATGTCTTACAGAAACATAGGGCCCAGTAGATGGAACCTTGAAGAGTTTAACACACTTTCTTGGTGTCAGAACCCAACAGCAGTTAAGAAACCAGGAATCCACATTCTTGAGACAGCTCTGTATCCACCTCTGTTTGTGAGAGTTGCTCAAGAGAGTGAGATGCTCTTTCATTGTGCCCTGAAATTTCTGAGTTTCAGCCTTACAAAGGCTCAATGTAAAAGTCTTATCTGATAACACAGATGTCAACTGAGCCCTCATCACTGATGTCCCTGGCTATTGGCCGGGTGCACCTACAAATAACACAGGGCAGCCCAGGACAGGCCCCTCCAAGCCAGCCTCTCTTATCAACTCATCTGAGCAGTTCCACACCACTTCTTAGTACCATGAGTTGGATGGGGAGCAAGAGGGAGGGCACTCTTCTTGGACTGAAGTAGATTGTCGGGTGTTGGAACTCTTGTGTACCTGTCATGTTCATACCTAGGCCATAGCTGGCAGAATAAAAAGAAGAGGGTTGGAGAATGAGTCTGTGTACTCAGATGTGAATTCCAAGACTTTAACTTGTCCTCTGGTTTCCTTCCTTCATGGAGATTTATACAGATTCTCCTTATGTGCCTAATCTGAAGAGCAGAATTTCTTTTATTTTCTTTTTTCTTTTTTCCTTTCTTCTTTTCTCTTTTCTTTTCTTTCTTTCTTCTTTCTTTCTTTTTTTCTTTCTCTTTCTTTCTTTCCATCTCTCTCTTTCTTTCTTTCTTTCCTTCTCTCTCTCTTTCTTTTTTATTTATCATGAAGTCTCACTCTGTTACCCAGGCTGGAGTGCAGAGAAAAGCAGAATTTCTAATGGAGGTGTCACATACGGTCAAAGCAAGGCAGAACACAGACTTTTCTTTGCGTGGTTTCTAGGCACATTTACAAAGCTGCATTCAGATTGATGAGGAGCTTCATCATTCAGTTTAATGTGGCCAACTCCTCCCTCTTTTTGGAAAAAGAGCAGGTGCACTAAACCAGCAAACACAGCCAGCACTGGGCTGTGCTGAGAGCAGCCACATAGGGGTCTCTACAGACAGAAACCCGAGAAGACCGGGAAAGAACCAGGACCCAGACTCAAATATGAAAAATCTCTGGGCTTTGTCCTACGGCCTTCCCATGAGTAACTCATAGCCTTGTTCCAGTGGAATCTGGCCTTCACTAGTCTCAGTGGCAAGTTGGTTATGTGGAAAGTCTCTCTTCACACACTTGTGCGAATAACGATAAAGAATTTTGTATTGTTTTCACTCTACATTAGACCATGAGTATTTATGCCTGTGGCTGCAGTTTGTATTAGTTTCCGGCCCCAGGTATCTCCTGCAGCATGCAGCTTCAGTCCTATCGGACCCTCAAAACTTAAAAGCTAACACTATTACTAGGGAGGATTTCGCAGGAAAATGGTGAGAGGGTTACACACAAAAAAGGTTAAACTACTCTATGCATGTTTCTGCAATGTGTTATCTCAGGAACTCATTTCTGTAGCCCATCAGGGCAGGAGCTGGGCTCTCACCTGTTGATAATATTCCATAAGGGAGGTTCTTCCCCACAGTGTTTAGTCTTCCAACGCTGGTACAGCCTGACATGATGACATTCTACTTTCATGTCGGTCATGCTGCAGGGAAAATTCTGTGAGTGTCCTAATAGGCTGGAATCATTTGCTAGGGTGAACCCCATCTTTGGTGCTCACTTTTCTGTTATCTTGTAATTAGCTTTATTCTCAGCAAATCCAAGTCTATTTTATTTATCTGTTTATTTACTTATTTTTATGTATGGAAAAACACTTTTTTTTATTTACTTATTTATTTAGAGACAGGGTCTCCGTCTGTTACCCAAGCTGGAGTACAGTGGTAGAGTGCTGTGATCATGGCTCATTGCAGCTTCAAACTCTTGGGCTCAAATGATTCTCTCACCTCAGCCTCCTGTGCCACCATGCCCTGCTAGTTGTTTTTAATTTTTTATAAAGAAGGAGACTCATTAGGCAGCCCAGGCTGGTCTCAAACTCCTGGGCCCAAGCAATTCTCTCATCTCAGCCTCCCAAAGCACTGGGATTAAAAACATGAGCCACTGTACTGAGCTGTGCCTACTTCAAAAGACTGAAAATAAAAAATCAATAAATCTTTGCCAAATTAAAAAACAAAACAATAGTTTCCAGGTCTTAGACAAAGACAATTCTGTGTCATGAAGGTGGCAAAAGGCTTATTTAGCTGTTAAAATGATTTGCTTATATTTCAAAGAAGCAGAGAAAAAAAGATACATATAAAAGTTTTCCAGGCCAGGCACGGCTGTTCATGCCTGTAATCCCAACATTTGGGGAGGCCAAGGCAGGAGGATCTCTTGAAGCCAAATGTTTGAGTCCAGTACAGGCAACATGGTGAAATTCTGTCACCATAAAAAAATAAATAAAATAAATATGACTGGGCATGGTGGTTCACGCTTGTAATACCAGCACTTTGGGAGTCGGAGGCAGGTGGATAATGAGGTCAGGGGTTCGAGACCAGCCTGGCCAAAATGGTGAAACCCTTTCTCTCCTAAAAATAATAACAATAAAAAATCAGCCAGGCATGGTGCTGTGCGCCTGTAATGCCAGCTACTCAAAAGGTTGAAGCAAGAGAATTGCTTGAACCTGGGAGGTGGAGGTTGCATTGAGCTAAGATCATGTCACTACACTCTAGCCTGACCCACAGAGCAAGACACTGTCTTGAAAAAATAAATAAATAAATAAATAAATAAATAAATAAATAAATAAATAAAGTTAGCCAGGCCTGGAGGTGCATGCCTATAGTCCTAGGTAATTAAGAGGTTGAGGCAGGAGGACTGCTCAAACCCAAGAAGTTAAGGTTATAGTGAGCTATGATTATGCCATTGCACTTCAGACTAAGCAAAAGAGTAAGATTCCATCTCAAAAAATTACTAAAAAAAGTTCTCTAAATTACATTGTTTAAGAAAAGGGAAAAGAAAAAATATCTTTTTTAATTTTCAAATGGGAGGATAGAGCCTCTCATTTCTAATATGTATTTCCTTCTGCAAAAACATGGCCTAGGCCCATGGTCTTGAACTACTGGACATCTGAATTTTAGTAGGTGCTGGATTCAGGCAACTGAGGGGTGGCTTGGACACACTAAGTGCATGTAAATAAAAGGTTTGAGGTGAACTAAAAGGTAAAAGAGGGGAAGGTGCTATTAAGAACCCACAATTGGGAGACATTACAGGGTTGGTGGAAGGACTGGTTCATGCTACAGATACTGACCCAGGTGAAACTTTACTCTGACTTATTTCTGTGTCCATGCAAGAAGACGAGATTATGATCAGGTGGCACAGAAACCTGGGATGGTGAAAAAACCAGGTTGCCCCTGCAGATTCAGTGTCTGAGGTAGAGCATATGCCAGGGGTCTTGTAGGCACGTGTGTGGGTTTTTGGTGGGAAAGTCTATGAGGATAGGTAGCATGGGCAACAATCTTGATGCCGAAGCCCTGTGCTGGGAGGGGCTTGACCACGTCAACATGCAGTGTGTATGTTCAGTGGGTGAAAAACATATGGTGGCCTCAGGTTGGCAGGAGGGTAGAAGGCATCTGTTCTCAGAACTTCTTCCCTCAGAGTCGTCGGTCCTTCTTACCATGGGAGGATGCCTGGAACCACAGGGCAGTGCATGGTGTAGCAGCCTGTGTGCAGAGCAGAGCCTACCTTCCCCGAGACACCTGGAGTCTCTCTCCAGCAGAGGCCCCCACATTGTCTTTCTTTTTATGTTTTTGATCCTAAATGTGGAAAGTTCCCTGAAAACCCACTGATTCTCCAACACCCATTTGTTGCCCCAAAATTTAATTCTGACACAACTTAGAGTTCGCACAGACCCCACAAATTCAGGGCTCAGTCCCACATCACCTCTCTCACTGTAGAGGAGAGTTACACATCCCTGAAGCCCATCTACACTTCTGAGCTACCTCCTATAAATCTGAGACTAGCATAAACCCCTTTTCAAGTTAAATAATTTGATAGAATTACTAAAAAGAAAACCTCAACAAATAACTGTAATTATATTTACTACTTTATTATAAAAATATAACTCAGAAACAGCCAAATGGAAGAGATGTCTAGGGCAAGGAACAGTTGTGGGTGAAGGTAATCCTGGAAATAGCTATATTTAAAGAAATTCCCCCATTCTTTGCATTCTCAAAGAACAGCTTAGTGAAGAGAAACGTGCTTCCCCTGATGACTTTGAGGATGCTCCCTGCTGTTTTTTTAACCTATCACAAAAATGGACACAGATTGCAAATTCCCATTTTTAAAAATGAACAACCATTCAGTAATTTAGTCTTCAGTGGTCAAAATAACATACTCTTTACAGAAACTTTGCTTGTTTCTCTTCTTCCAACCAGCCCCTGAACTTTGACTCACCCACAGCTTCAGCAAACCTACAACCCTTATTTATACATAACCCTCCTAAGAACAGGCTGAGTTCAAGGTGAAACATTATCTTATCTGGGATCTCATTTTGCTACCCTCCATCGTGTGCTTCCTTTCCAACCTTCTTTGTAAACTTGTTTTCTCTCCCTATGAAATAAGGCCCTTTTCCACCTAACCTTAGAGATACTCAAAGATCTAATCATTTGTACTTTTTCTTTGTTGCAATACTTCTTAGGTAACTTCTTAGACCAAGTCTAGAAACAATCTGAGGACAATAACAATTCCATTCTAAAAAGAATCTCCCAACATTTCTTCTGTCTCAACCTCAACTGCATCTGCCTGTGAACTTCCAGCTTACCAAGGCTCTATATCTTCTGGCAGTGACAAAGGCTCCTTCCATGGTTGGTGTGAGTAGGCTTGGACACCTGCAGGGTAGACACCCAGGAATAATCAACTGGGCCTTCAGTGGTCCTCTTTTGCAGGGTCAAGGTGGGCCTTAGCTTTTAGTCAATGGTCTAAGACTTCTACTTACCAGTTAGTCATTCAGTTAGTTTTCAATTCAAAAAATACTTCATGTTTGAAGAATCCAGCAAAAATTATTCAAATCTAAGGTATAAAAGAGAGGAAATTACAGCCGGGCATGGTGACTCATGCCTGTAATCCCTGCATTTTGGGAGGCTTAGGTGGGCAGATGACCTGAGATCAGGAGTTTGAGAGCAGCCTGACCAACATGAAGAAACCCTGTCTCTACTAAAAATACAAAATTATCCAGGTGTGGTGTTGTATGCCTGTAATCCCAGCTATTCGGGAGGCCGAGGCAGGAGAATCGCTTGATCCCAGGAGGTGGAGGTTACAGTGAGCAGATGTCTTGCCATTGCACTCCAGCCTGGGCAACAAGAGTGAAACTACATCTAAAAAATAACAGAATAAAATAAAATAAAAACATTATAAGGGGCTTATATCTTATAATTCATCAAGAAAAGCCAAAGTATCTATCCCTTTCAGAAAATAAACATGTAATTTAATTATGTTCATAACAAATCATTTAGTAAACAATTAATCATATGTGAACACTTCCAAGAGGCGCAAAGTCCCAGCTCCTAAAACTTAACATTACCCTCAAACACCCAGATGGCAGCATATGGAATAGAGTTATTCACTTTCACAAGTTCTCTCTTTTGAAAAAAAGAATAACTTATGTGATAAATTTATGTAATTTGACAATTAATCTACCTCATGTGCTTGCAGATATGTATTCATTTCCTACCACCGTAGTGGAAGAGATACTATCCCTATCTTTACAACTGATAGCATTTCCAACAGTAAGCTGTGAGATTCTGCTTGAAATCACCTCTCAAACAAATAAAAAACAGACCTGGGAGACATGCTACACTCATTCTGCTCAAGAAATAGGTAAGTAACAATTTTTAACAAATGAAATATATTACTACTTAATTTTATTCAAAATTCACCAACTTAATGTGCTTTATAAATATTCTCATACCTTTGAAGCTCTACTGATAAAACATAATTTACAGTTAATGAAAAAGTGAAGTTAAAATAAATCCAATCATATTTTCAAGGTGACAAAATTAGAAGGTGACAATGCTGATTGAAACACAGACATATCTGACCCAAGGGTCAAGTCAAGCCTTTCTATTACTTGGGATATTTTCCCTGCTTCTATCTGGTTCAGTGATGTGGGTCATGAGCGTCCTACCAGGAGCTGCTACACTCTGCTCCACTGTGTCTGTGAGGTGCATTTTACTTTGCAGGTTTTTGCACTGCCTCACTAGGTTGGGTTTCTTTGTCCTTTGAAATATTTTCTCTCTCTTCACCAATCTGAGGACAGTTTTTCCTCAATATCAGCATCCAGTTGCCTGGCCTGCAATGTGTCTCTAAGGAATGGAAACTAAGCGTTGGGGTAAGAAATTCTTAATGTCCTAAGGGGTTTGCTTTTAACGCAAAGGTATACCTGGAGATTCCTTCCAGGTATAGTGCATCCAACCACTCCAAAAAGAGGCTGCATTCCCATACCTTGGGCTGTTCCCTGAGAGGAGATGACACAAGGGATGCTATTTACTAGACACTTCAAGAGTCATGGCCACTGTTGGTATCTTGGGGATTCTCAAGCAGTTTTGAAACCCAAAACCAAGAAAATAACACAGGATGCCTGAGGATGTATTGCCCTGTGAGGTTTCTGAAATGAAACCTCAACCCAAAGACATTCTGATGGGGTGTCTGTGCCAAGGGAAGATTAAAGAAAGGGACACAAATATTTTCTTTCCTTTTATTTTCTTTTTTTTTTACTGTGGATTGTCAGGGGATTATTATGTGCTTTCATGTCCTGTGAAATGTTTACAAATGAAAAATATTTTTTAAAGTGTCATCCACTGCTTTTTGAAAAAATGCAGAATTAAAATACTGTGTCTAAAATGTACAATAAAGAACAGTTGATAATGTTGTGAGTTACACAAGGTTAGTTAGTGTTGGTAAGTGTCAGGAAAGAACTGGAAATTTAAACTCTGACTGCAAGCCAGAGTTAGGCTGGGGTAACAGGGTGGTAGATTTGAGGCTCTTCTTGCCACACATTTGGAAAATGCATGAGAAAACTAATTCTCTTTTGGAGCATTAAAACAACTAAAAAACAGGCAATTGCGTTGAGGTGGCTCTAGTGTCCTGAGCTCTGAGTGGAGAGACAGGCAAAGGCAAAGGCATCCCAAAAGATCCAAAAAGCTGCCCATTCTTCTCCAGCTGTGCACCTGATTAGATAATTTCCACTCCAGCACCCATGATTGGATATAGTTCAATTCCCCACCAAGCCCCCTCAGGCCATGAGTGACATATGTGATTTGACACTGGATTGAATAAAGCAAGAATTATAAGTTTTTCCTGGATCCTTTTCTGGCAGGGCTTCCTTCATGCACTGGACACTGGCCCTGACTGTAAAATACTTGCATTTTCATTTGTGTGTAAGATTATTTGTATTTATGAAAAATATATATGTGTTATTCATACATGGAAGCAATATAATGACAATTATTTTAAAATTTCAGATTTTTTACTTTCCTGGCACATCCAGGTTTTAGAGCAGGCAGCCTGAGATTTCAAAAATGAGGCAATTCTCTAAGAAATAATATGTG
Source organism: Homo sapiens (assembly GCF_000001405.40). Lineage (NCBI taxonomy): Eukaryota > Metazoa > Chordata > Mammalia > Primates > Hominidae > Homo > Homo sapiens. The sequence continues at coordinate 279,973 of NW_021160023.1, forward strand.
AGGCACATGTGAATTTTAAATATTCTAGTAGCTACATTTTAATAAATACACCAGGCATGGTTGCCTGTTCGTGTAGGTTGAACTGTTTGGGAGACTGATGTGGGAGGATCATTTGAGGCAAGGAGTTTGTGACTAGCCCAGGCAGCATAGAGAAAGCCATCTCAACAACAACAAAAAAAAAATTGAAAAATTAGCCATGCCTGGTGTATGCCTTCAGTCCCAGCTACTCAGAAGGCTGGAGCTGGAGGATCACCTGAGCCTGGGAGGTCAAGGCTGCAGTGAGCCATGATCACACCACTGCACTCCAGCCTCACTGACAGAACAAAACTCTGACTCAAAAAACTGATCTCTGGAAAGGCATTTTCTTTTTCTGCAACGTAGCCAACTAGCTAAGTTTGTATTGAAGCCATCCTTTAATTTTTAACAGGGCAAGAATATTTTCTAAGACCCCGAACTCCAGATATGCGATGGGGCAAATCCTGAAGCGTACATGGCTATCTCTCACAGCTAAAGCACCCCTCACCCCTATCCTGCGCTTCTTACCCCTGGCGCAAGAGAATCACCTGCGGGGAGGAAAACTTTCAAAATCCCTTAAACCCAAGTTGTAACCGCACAACTAAATCAGAATCCTTGGAGCTGGATCTGAAAAAAATACGGTTGAAAGTCGTGCAGGTGATTACAATGTGTAGGCAAGCCACAAAACCATGGCTTTAACCAGCAGCTTTTGTTAGAAATGATTTCTCCAATGAATGTAAAAACGTTTGCTGCTGAATTGTGACCTTTCAATTTTACCTGCTTTTCCTGCAAAGTATATTTTGCAGACCCAGGCTGGCTTCTCCTTCTGTTCCTGGTTCACCCAGTGCTGTGTGTGCTCAGTGCATCCTGTGCACGGGCCACTGTGCTGTGTGCGCTGGCCTGGGTGAGCATCATTCTTCGGGGAGAACATTTCTGAAAACAAAGCTGAATTCCAAAAAGTTAAAACCATGCTACTTACTGTACTGAGGTAAAAATTAAAAGACCTAGGGGACTCTTCCAAAAGTTAAAACGTAAATAAATATCTTGGAACATTAATATACACCTGACGATGTCCTGAGTGAACACGCCCCACTTTAAAACAAAACAAAACATTACTATTATTCTAAAATATTAATTTAGGATTGTTATGCAAATATGTACTATTTAAATATTTATTGATGAATAACATGCATACAGCAATATAGGAACAAAATATTTATGGAATGCTTGATGAATTATTACTAAATAAATACACTTGTGTATGTAAGAATCAGATTTGCTCATGCCCTTGACACTTTCTCCTTCCCAAAGGTAACCAAGACCTTAAGAGCTAAGTGTAGATAAACTTTGTCATTTTCTACAAGTTTTATTACAGAACATTAAAAACGTATACACAATACAAAAAAAAGATAACAGGCCAGTCACCCAGCTTTAACAGCTACTAATCATGTGTCATTTTTGTTTCACCTATACTTCCAGCCATTCCCACCCCAATTTCATTGTTTTTTAGCCTTTTTGGATAAAATGTATATTCATTGCAAGGTACAATGTGAACTGTAAATAGTAGAGAGATGGGGTTTCATCATGTTGATCAGGCTAGTCTTGAACTCCTGTCCTCAGGTGATCCACCTGCTTCGGCTTCCCAAATTGCTGGGATTACAGGCATAAGCCAATATACTCAGCCTGAGAATTCATACTTCTAAGAAAGTACAAATCCATAGGGCACATGAGAACTGAAATGTCTATCTACAGTAAATACAGTTTGATGAATAAAATGGAAGGCAATTGACCTAAGGTGAAAAAAAAAACAAAAAACAATGAAAGCATGGGTACTATGTGTCATCTGTAAGAGCATTTGGTTAAGAATAACAAGCAAACCTGTTTTATAGTTTTAATAGCCGAAATTGGCAAAATTTCTAGTTTTTCTTTCATAGGAATGCTCTTTGCAAGAAAAAATTTTCATATAGTGAGAGCAAAAATGGCAACCATTTGCAAGTAAATGTCTTATGAAATTAAGTAGCAGATATCAAGCTCATGACCTTCAGATAGTTACCCCTAACTCAATCACTTACATAGCAAGTGCAGATAATTTTCATAGCTCCCTATTAAAATTATATTTGAATGCCCTTACAAATTGTGACTGTTTTTAAATAAAGTTGACCAACTAAAATTTTGTATATGACATATGATAAATTCCCCTTCAAGTCACCTTACATTTACTTAATTTTATTAGGCAGTGTCTGTCTACCACCCAATAATACTTGAGGATTCTCCCTCCATTTGCACAGGCATCATAGCTGGGAAACAGGGATTCACAAGACCCAGGCTGTTCCCTACATATGTTTCCTCCTCCGACATCAGTTCATCAGTCAATCAAGCCATGTGAGAGTGGAGGCCTTGTATTCCCTATTATTCTTGGGCACTCTACTCCAAGTAGGAAAAGGCCAGGAGGTCCTGTTAAAGGATGCACTCAGAGCCCGGTCTCCCTAACGTATGAGAGTGCTAACCAGCAGGTGTAGACTTTTCAGGAGTGAAGAATGAGGCAGGCATTCCAAACCTGGACCTTCATCATCTTTTGTTTCATCTCAAGACAATTCTGAGGGACTGTTTTGGAGCGTGTCTGGAAGGTGAACCTTGAAGAAGAGTGTGGGCTTTGATGTGACTCAGTTGAGATCTTTCATGGGGAGGCAGGAATTCAATGCCCAGAATCTGGGCTGGTGTCTTTGAGGTCAGTGGGTTGCGTCTTTGTATCAAAGTCCATTGTTACTAGGTTGGAGGCTGGAGATTCTAAATGGCTTCCAGACCATCTCTCTGATTCTCTTTGGGAGATGGGGTCTGAAAGACAATGTCAGTATTTTTGGGAAATTCTAGAAAGTGTGCTTGGAAACGTGGGAAGAGCTCTTGCCTAGTGCCTAAATGCTCCATTTGCAGCTCTGGCCAAGTAGATACTTGGTAGGTATAGAGCCAGGTTTGCATTTATATCAGCAAAACCTATGTCAGAGTTGAAGAAGTAGTCAGGAAAAAGTGTCTTGGTCGCAGGCCGGGGAACATCTTAAAAGCAAACTTCTAGCCTGTTGACTCTTGGCAATGAGTGTTGGATCCTGGCTAAAGTGCCTTGAATGCAGCATGAGGTCAATCCATGAATCCAACTTCTAATGGAGAAATGTTAGTATTTTTTCAGTTTGAATCAATCAGGGTGAAACTACCATGCTATTGGTTTGCTTAGTTTTTATTATTTCATATAAAATCTAAGACAAAATACATTAAATGCTTATTGACATATGTATTTATTCTTCACCGGGCTGATAATATCTGCCTAATTTTAAACTTTCTTCCATTTTGTAGGTTTCAACTTATTCTATTGTAAGATACTGTTAAATCTAATAGAGGCATTGTCACTTTTACGTATAATTTTATTTTATTTCATATATTTCCTATTGGCTTTTTACATTTAAATTATGGACCACTTCATCATATAAAAAGCTTCAATTATATTTAAACAGTAAGTCTTTGGATTTTTTTGTCTTGTAATTTCCATATTACATAATAATGAGATAAACATTAATGTTTTCAGGGTACTTTAAATTTTAGATAATTACTCATTGTATTCATGTGAAATTTGTTTTTACTGCATGTGTGGGTTGGAGGACTGTTTTCACTTCTGATTCATCTTTACTCTTATCTCATCAGAGCTCATACTTCTTGTAGTTGGGGGATTGCAGTTTATAATTCCAATAAATGGGGCAAATTCAATAATAACATAATACAAATGAGTTTGAATGCAGGACATGTCTTCAAAGCATACACAACATGGGCCTACATATGTACAACAATAATAATTTATAAGTTACAGTTTGGATGGAAAGTAAAAGTACAGAAAATTTGTTAAAGGAAATTAAAATGGAGATCATGTCTCAATAATCTCTGAGCAGACAAAATTAGTTAGGTCTCATAAGTGATCTCAACCTCGCTTGATTTGCAAATACAAACAAAACTTACATTATTTCTTGTAGCTGCATATTTAAAAAAGAGAAATGAAGCTCAACCAGTCAGAAGTAGCCAACAACCTTATATAAATAGAAACTGTCCAACAAGGTAAACAGACAAACAAAAAACAATAAAAAAAGTTGTGCTACCACCAATCAAATGATTTCTTTGTTTCTACATTTTTCAAATAAATACTTGCTTCTTACACTGTCAATGAAGCACTCAATATCTTTCCATCTGATATTTTATAATTTATCAATTGCTCTTACTCAAATAAACACTTTGCAATTTCATTGTGTCTCAAATTACTTTTTAGCAGAATAAACTAGGAATAAATATTACAAAAATGTCTACGGAATATGGAAAAAACATAGAAAGTTTATGAAATATCTGAATGTAGACATAAGCAAATAGACAATTTGTATCATATTCTTAGGCAGAAAAACTCAATATTATCAACATCAATTGTCCTTATAGTTATTTATAAATTCAATTTTGTTCCTATACTGATACCATTAAATATTGCAAGTACACGTTACTATAAAATATTATATAGATGAAAATGCAAACAAGAATAGACAAGAAAACTCTGAAAAAAAAAAAAAAACACTGGCAAGCCCTGTGTAAAATCTTGATTGATTAAAAAACTCATGGATCACTGAAACTAAAAATTCAGAAATAAACCAAAGTGTCTAAGAAAGTGTCATAGTGCATCTTGGCTGCTATAACAAAATACCTTAGACTGGGTAAAGGACAAATAAGAGAAATGTATTTTTCACAGTTATGGAGTCTGGAAAGTGCAAGATTAAGGCAGCAGCAAATTTAGTATATGGTGAGAGCCCTATTCCCCATAGATGGTACCATCTCGCACATGGGACAAGGGCATTCCCTTCAACTTCCTTTGAAAGAGCACTGATTCCATTCATGAAGATGAAGAACTCTTGGCTTCACCACTTTCCCAAAGGCCTCATGCCTAAAATTATACACATATGAATTTGAAAGGGGACATAAACATTCAGGCCATAGCAATAAAAACTACATGGGTGATGGCATCATTTATACATGAGGTGTAAAAATGTGATGTTCTTATCACAAAGGAAATAAATGATTTATTCTTCATGGCATATATCAAAATAAAGGTCCAATGAAAATATTTTTTATAAAGATAAATCTATATGGCAAAAAATTAAGTATTGATAAGTTTAACCCTACAGGTTGCATCAGGATTTTCAAGGTTTCCAGGGATGAGCAAGGCCCTGGAGTTTCTTCCTGTGACATTTTCCTGGAAGTTGCTCATGCTGTTATTCAATTTGAAAGTAGATAATATTGTTTGTTTCTCTTCCAATATTTACTAAATTCAAAATAATATAGGGCTCTTTACTCATAATTCTCAAACAATCATTCAGTCAGTGGGGCTCTGCTGAGGAAGAGCACAGACACATCCACACAAGTATAATGTTCCTCAAATAGAGGACTTCTCCTTGTGCTGGAGCCACCTATGTTGCACTCGATCAGAGGCTTTCCCAGGATAGCATTTCTCTGCAGCCCTACCACAGTCTTAACCCTGAAAATCCCACTCAGAAGGCGACGGATGAACACCCACCCTAGCATTCTAATCTAATGGATCCTCTCTTAACAATCCCTTCCAGGGATCTGGGATCTTTCCTGGATTCGTCGGCCACACACAGCTAGGCTCAAAAATTTGGACAGAAACTTTGATCCTCATTGGCCCTCCTGCCCTGTCCTACCAGCTTCTCTAGAAGTATGCTTCTCTAATTGCTCCTGAGAGACACTATCTAAGGGTATCAACCTGTGCCAATATAATTGATCTCATAAAGTGAGAAGGGAAATAGGCAAGAGTCCAGCTAGCCTAGAAGAAGTGTCTAGGGTTCCTTACCTGATTTATGTCTCTGATTTACCTAAATATTGACAAATACAGATTCACCTCTAGGCAGTAGAAAAACAGAAGGAGAAATCCCAGTTCATAGAGGAAGAAGAAAATGCAATCAATGCTGTCTAGAGTCCCGCTTAAGCTCAGCCACAGGGTACTAAGTCTCTTCAGGAAAAAGCAATTGTTGTCCATCATCTGAAAAACTGTGGCCTGGAACCATGGGCACCGAGAGTGCACACTGCCCACTAGAGTTCCATGCCTACATCACGGAGAGATAGAATAGTCTCAAATGATTCTTAAGAGTAATGTGGGGACCAAAAGGAGATGAATCCACAGCCTCTGCCTTACCGTCTGATCTAACTAATAGTATTTCCAGACCTTTCTGTGGGCTGCACCAGGGGTTATTCAGAAAGAAAAAAAGTTGTTAATATCCCACCGTTTCCCGTAGCTTCCGAGGTCTGTGTTGTTCATACCCCAGGTTCCAGGTTGTTCTCCCACTACTTCCACAGAATCAGTGAGTCTCATTCCGGTACCTATAATCTCATCTTTATTCTAGTCGCCCTCTACTTTTTTCTAAACACTTTATCTAGTAGAGCCAGGTAAAATAGAGACAAGAATATTTACATAAAAGTTAGCTGGAACTAAGTTGGAGTCCCATAACTGCTACTAGGCTGAGATGCAACTCAGAGGATACAAAAGCCAGGCTTGCCTAGAATTGCAGGTATGGGAAAGAAAGTCACATTTCACCCAGGAATTATTAGCACGAAATTCCAAGATTGTGAAATAGATTCCTAGATCCCCCAAACATTTCATCCTTATCTTGGAGGCAATCAGGAAGAGAAAATAAACCATACCTAATCAACAAATTATCTAACCATCATGTGTGGAAAAGGAGGGAACATCATAGAGTTGGCTTGTTTTAGTACGTGTGGTGAAAAATGCCACGAAGTCAGAGCTCAATTGGTCTCAAAAACCTAAAAGATGGCACAGATTAACTTCACGGGACACATGGTATGGATGGTGTCGGCATACTGTTATGCTGAAGATGTCAAGAGTGGTGACTGATATCTCAAGAAGTGGGCCAAAAGTCCACTTCTGGTTACTCTGCTAGGTATGGTCTAGGAATTCTTCAACCATGAGACAAATAGGTCAACTTTCACCAGCAACCCCAAGTCTGGTTTGCAGTATTAGACTCTGCGTTAGACACAGATTTAGGTTCAATCTGCAGCTTGATTGTTGTCACTCTCTAGAAAACAAACTCTTACCATGGACTTCTAGATGAGTGATCCAGTTAGATCAGCATCTGAGATTGTCTCCAGTTTGCAGCCCAAAAGACATTCAGACAGTCTACAGTTTCCATTGTAGATAACCAAACAGATAGAATATGTGCCATTATCCCAAACCCTGAGTTCTGACCTTTGAGAGGAGCAACCACTCATGTCAGGTTCTGTATGGCTGGCACAGGTTAAACAGCCACAGCGGCCCAGTGGACATCATGAGGTTTCACCTTCCCTGACTCATCTATGAACCAGGACCAGTCATATAGGAAACACTCAGTAAATTGGGGGCCCCACAGAGACAGCAGCTTTGCTTCAGAGGATAGAAGGAGGCATAAAATTTCAAACAGCTGGGGATGCTCTAGCCCTCTATGGGTGAAACTGAGTTTGGCAGGAGTTCTGCAGCAAGCTCTTAGCTGACTTTCAAATCAGTGTAACCAGTAGTGTGTCACTGAGTCCAAAAGCCCAAAGAACACCTCTGGGAGGAGGCTAGTCCTTTACTAGAGGCTCCAAATGCCAAAATCAAGATTTTCTTGACCTCAGGATGAATTGATCAATGCAAATCTCCCCAAATATTTTCACTAAACCTTAATTGGAAAGTAAGACTCCAGATTTTTTAACTCTCACTAAACATAAATATCTGATTTTTTCACCTGAGATCTATGTATGTGTGTTGGAGCATGCCTTTACCAATCAGCATAAAGTTACATCTCTCCTTGCGCCTCTACTTTCTACTTGTGCAGAGTTTAAAATGCAGAGGTGAGAGCTTAGGGTTTTCTGGGTCTTTTGCTAAGCATGTACCTGACCTTGAGCATCCCCAATTCCCCATTTCCTTCTTGATCCCAAAGACCGTTATCACAGTCTTAATTCACAGCAGCTTTTCCTCCTAGAGCTTTTTGACATGATTATTCTTAGACCCAACTGATATCCTTCGTTCCTGGTAGACTGCGTAGCTCATTTCCATTTAAATGCTTTTAGAAATATTAAACTATGGATTTAAGATTTATCTGCTTTTTAAATTAAGTAATGCTGCTCTTAGCCTTCCACAGGACTTGAGGGTTATAAAAAAAAGGAAGAAAATAATTATTTTATACCAAGAGTATGAAAAAGAGACTGGGAATTACTATATTAATAGCAGACAAAATAGACTTAAAAACTTAAAAGAGACAATAAGACATTATATAGTCATAGATTGTCCATTTGGCAGGAAGATAGAAATAGTTTAAACCCATACCTAATAATAAAACATTGAGATATAGAAAGCATAACTTGACAGAATTACAGGGGCAAAAAGGCGGTTCTAAAATAATAGTTGAAGATGTTAATACTCCACTCTGAGTAATGAATAGAAAAATGAGATAGATGATAAATTAGGAAATAGAGTTCTTGACTAACTCAATGAACCAAATTGATCTAACAGATATATACAATATACTCCATCCAACAAAAGAGACTACACACTCTTCTCAAACGCACATGGGGATTTCCCCACGATGGGCTGTGTAGTAGATCTCAAATTAAATCAATAACAGAAGAAACGTTAGAAAGTTTACAAAACTGTATAAATTAAACAACATACCCTTAAACAACAAATAAGTAAAGGAAGAAATCACAGAGGAAGTTGGAACATACTTACAGAGGAAGAAAAATGAAAACAAAACACATCAAAAGTTAAGGGAAACAGCAAAAAGAGTGCTAAGATGTAAAGTTTGCAACTAAAATACATTTAAAAAGAACAAAGATTTCAAATAAATAATAACTTTATCACCTAGTAAATTAGAAAAATAACACCAAATTAGATGCAAAGCAAAGAGAAAGAAGAAAATATTAAAGCTTTTAGCAGAGATAAATGCAATGGAGATTATACAAACCACACAATTCCAAAAAACCAAAAGTTCATTCTCACTTCTTCAAAAAATTAACAATTGGCAAACTTTCAGCTACACACAAAAAAAATTAACAGCATATTCACATACTAAAATGAGAAATGAAAGTGGGACATTACTACTAATTCAAAGAATTAAAATGTTTAAAAAACTGTACTATGAACTATGATAGGATGATAAATTGGAAAACGTAAAGTGGGCAGATTCCTAGGTATACAAGACTTGATTACAAAGAAATACAAAATCTGAATAGATACAAAACTACTAAGGAAATGGAATCAGTAATTAAAAGCCTCTTCATAAAGAAAAGCCCTTATTTTGTTGGCTTCACTAGTGATTTAGATCAAGCATTTATAGAACAAAAATCCTTTCCAAAGTCTACCAAAAGCCTGAAGAGAGCAGTTCCAAACTTATTCCATGAAGCCACCATTAGCTCATACCGAAGCCAGACAAAGATACTACAAAAACCCATAGACTAATATCCCTTATGAACACGGATGCAAAACTAGTCAGCAACATCCTAGCTAACTACATTCAGCAGCATACTAGCAAGATTACAACCCATGACCAAGGGGAGTTTATTATTGGAATGAAAGGAAGTTTTAGCATATGGGTGGTTTCAGTGCAGTGGTGTTTACAAATAATTGATCACAACCAGTATAGATTTCTTTATTCTTTTTCCAGTCTCACTGGTTCACTTAGCTAGCCTTTCTTAACAAAAGTTTAAGCATATGAAAATTAATCAATGCATATGCCACATTGACAAAATTTTTAAAAAGTATTCTCTCATTAATACAGATAACGTATTTTACAAAATTCAAAATATTTTATAATAAAAACAATAAATTAGGAATAAAAGGAAACCAGCTTTGTAAAATTCACATATAAAAACCCACAGCAAACAACATATTCCAGAGGAAAAGATCAAAAGTGTTTCCTCTAAGCTCCGAAGACAGAGTGAATATCTGCTCTTGCCAGCCACTTTTATTCAACACTGTATTAGAAGTTTCATTCAGAGAAATTAAAAAAGACAATGAAATAAACTGCATCAAAGTGTGTACAGAAAATATATTCTTATATGTAGAAAATCTTTGATTCCACACAAAAAATATTACAACTAATAAATTCAGCTGAATAGTAGCATACAAAATCAACATACAAAAACAAACTGCATTTTATGTAGTAACATGAATAATCTGAGAAGAAAACTCTGAAAACAATTCAATTTACAATAGTATCAAAAGAATAAAGTAGTTAGGAAGTAATGAAGAAGTAAAATGCCAATTACTCTTGTGTAGATATTAAAAAATCAATTTTTAAGTTTATGGGGAATCTCAAAGATCTTTAAATTGCAAAAATAATTTTGAAAAAAATACCAAAGTTAGAGAAGTCACACTTAAAGATTTCAAGACTTACTACAAAATTCCAAAATAGCATGCTACAAAGAGACTAATGGAGTAATATAGAAGGCCCATATAAATAAACCCTCATATATAAGGTCAAATGATTTTTATGGGAAATGAACTGCCTTTACAACAATTAGTGCTGGGGAAATTGGGTGCCCACATGTAAAAGAGTGAAGCTGGGCCCTTAACTTCTACTATAAGAAAAAATTAACTAACTGGATCAAAGACCTAAATGTAAGAGCTAAAACTACAAAATTCTTAGTATAAAATGTAGGTAAAACATGTCATAAGGCTGGATTTGGCAGTGATTTCTTTTAACCGGACACCAAAAACGCAAGAAACAAAAGAAAAATAGATAAAGAGGACTCTATCCAGAATATACAAAGAACAATTCAGCAATAATAAAACAAACTACTTGTTTAAAATATGGGCAAAATACTTAAACAGATATTTCTCTAAAAATTATGTGAAGTGGCTTATAAGCCCATGAAAAGGTACTCAACAAAACCTTTTCATTTTCATTAGTAAAATGAAAATCAAACCCCAAATGACATATCACTTAATGCACATCAGCATAACTAGTACAAAAAGAAAAAAAAAACAGAAAATCACAAGTGTTGGTGAGGAAGTGGAGCAGTTAGAACCCTTGTACACTTGGTGGAAATGTAAAATGCTGCAGCTGCTATAAAACAACACCATAGTAACGAAATAATTTACACTCAAAATCACCGTATGATCCAGCAATTTCACATCTTGGTATGTTGCAAAAGATGTGAAAGCGAAGACACAACATAATACACGTACACCTAAGCTCATAGCAGCTTTACTCACATCACTCAAAAGGTTTTTGAATTACCTGTGTTGTTTGAATTATCATCAATGAATAAATAGATAAAATGTGATTTATACATACAGTGGGATATTATTCAGTTATGAAAAATAAGGAAATTCTGACACATGGTACGTCACGCATGAACCTTAAGGACATTGTGCAAAGTGACATGAGCCAGTCATAAAAGGACAAATACTGTATCATTCCACTTATGAGATACTTAGAGTAGTTAAATTCTGGAAACCCACGTAGAAGAGTGGTTCCTAGGAGCTGGAGGGGGAGTAACAGTGAGCTGTTATTTAATGTGTATTGAATTTTGGTTTGGAAGTTGAAAAAAGATCCTTATGAATGGGAATAATAGTTGCAAAACAATGTGAGTGTAGTTAATTTCTCTGAGCTGAACACTTAAAATAGTTAAAATGGTTAATTTTACGTATACTTTGCCAAAATGTAAAAAATATTTTTTAAATAAACAAACTATAGCTATCTGCAATAGCATGAATTAATACCATAAATATAAAGTTGCCTAGAAGAAAGTAGATGTAAAAGTATACATATTATATAATTTCACTTATATAAAATCCAGAAAGTGAACACAACTGAGGTTGTGGCTTCCAGTAATAATGAAGTAGACTAGTTCGTTGAATAACTATTTCACAGATAACAATAATAAAGCTTAATAAAATACTATATTTTGCTATATAGAAACGCACACTGTTTAGAAGACTGAATGAAGATTTTATCTATGCCACTGTGGAAGAGATAAGGATTGGGGTTTGAATCTATTCAAATTAACTCCCTCTTAAAATAATAATTTTCAAAGAAATACAACAGAATCCAGAGTCCCTGTAGTTCCTATCACACAATTTAAAAATTCATGAGATGTGTGAAGAAGCATGAAAGTGTAATCGATTCACAAGATAAAAAGCAGACAATATAACCTATTCTCAAGATGTGCAAGATGCTGTAATCAGTAGATAAGATTTGAAAGAAGCTATGGTAAGTATGTTCATGGGGGTAAAAGAAAACAGTCTCATGACAAGTGAACAGAAGCGTAACTGTACACTTTCATGCGCGTCCGTGTGAAGAGACCACCAAACAAGCTTCGTGTAAGCAATAAAAGCTTTTAATCACCTGGGTGCAGGCAGGCTGAGTCCGAAAAGAGAGTCAGCAAACGTAGATAGGGATGGGGCCATTTTATAGGATTTGGGTAGGTAAAGGAAAAAGGGGGATTGTTCTCTGGCGGGCAGGAGTGGGGGGGTCACAAGGTACTCAGTCGGGGAGCTTTTGAGCCAGGATGAGCCAGGAGAAGGAATTTCACAAGACAATGTCATCAGTTAAGGCAGGAACAGGCCATTTTCACTTCTTTTGTGGTGGAATGTCATCAGTTAAAACAAGAACCGGCCATCTGGATGTGTACGTGCAGGTCACAGAATATACGATGGCTTAGCTTAGGCTCAGAGGCCTGACACTGAGTGCACTCAATAAAAATTCTCCTGTTTCAACCCGGGGTCTCTCTCATCCTCCTGAATCCCGCAACGGGAGAATTCCAGCATGCACCAGGTTCACGGGACAGTGCGCGGTCACTGAAAGAAGAGTGGGGCGGGGAGGGTGGTGTGCGGCTGTGAGCACCTCTTGTGCTTGCTGGGAGATGTAGTCTTATAAAGACTCCCAGCCCTTTGGTCACAGGGCTGCAGCACCCCAATTCCAGCATACACCGGAATCAGAGACAGTGCGCGCCGGCAGAGGAAGAGGTAGAGCTGTGCGTGACTCGCTGGGCTTGATGGAAAATGTAATCTCATGAACACTCCTTAATGAACAGTGCGCCTCACTGGAGGAAAAGGCGGGGCTGTGCAGGCCTTGCTTTGCTTGCTGAGAGATGCTGTCTCATAAACACTCCCAGCCCTTTGGTCACAGGGCTGCAGGACTACATTCCCATCATGCACCGGGATCAGGGATAGTGCATGTGCCTGGGTGAAGAGACACAGTTTTGCGCGCCTCCTTTGGCTTCCTGGGAGATGTAGTTTCATAAAGACACCCAGACTTTTCATTACAGGGCAGCAGGACTACAATCCCAGTATGCACCAAGATCAAGGATAGTGCGCGTAACTGCAGAATGAGGCGGGATTGTGCACGCCTCGCTGGACTTGGTGGGATATGTATTCTCATAAACATACCCAACCCTTTGGTCATAGGGCGGGAAGACTACAATCCCAGCATGCACCTGGCTAAGAGACAGTGCCTGTCACTGGAGGAAGAGGCGGAAGACTACAATCCCAGCCAGCACCGGGCTCAGGGAAATTGTGCGTCAGTGGAGGAAGAGGCGGGGTTGTGTGCTACTCGCCAGGCTTGCTGGGAGTTGTATTCTCATAAACCCTCCCAGCCCTTTCATCACAGGGCTGAAGGACTACACTTCCAGCCCCAGCATGCACTGGGCTCAGGGACAGCGCGCGTCACTGGAGGAAGAGGGAGGGCTTTGAGCTTCTAGCTGTGATTTTTTGGGAGATGTAGTCTCATTAACGCTCCCAGCCCTTTGGTCACAGAGATCCAGGACTGCAATCCCAACATGCACCCAGCTCAGGGATAGTGCGCTAATCACTGCAGGAAGAGGCAGGGCTGTGTGCACCTCCTGGGCGTACTGGGAGATGTATTCTCATAAACACTCCCATCCCTTTGGTCATAAGGCTGCAGGACTACAATCCTAGCATGCACCCAGCTCAGTGACAGTGCGCTAGTCTAAGGAGAAAGAGGCAGGGCAGTGTGCGCCTTGCTGGGCTTCCTGGGAGATGTAGTCCCATGGCCTCTCCCTGCCCTATGGTCACAGTGCTATAAGACTACAATCCCAGCATGCATGGGGCTCAGGGAGAGTCCACATCACTGCAGAAAGAGGGGCAGGTTGTGCACACCTCGCTGCGTTTGCTGGGAGATGTTGTTTCATAAAGACTCTCAGACCTTTTGTCACAGGGCTACAGGACTACAATCCCAGGATGCATCGGGATCAAAGCAGTATGCGACACGGGGAAAAGATGCGGAGCTGTGTGCGTCTCCCTAGGTCTTCTGGGAGATGTGGTCTCTTGGCCCTTTGGTCACAGGGCTGCAGGACTACAATGCCAGCATGCAGCGGGTTCATGGACAGTGTGTATCACTGGAGGAAGACGTGGAGCTGTGCGTGCCTCGCTGGGCTTGCAGGGAGATGCAGTCTCATAACTACCCCAGTCGTTTGGTCGCAGGGCTGCAGCAGTACAATTTCAGCATATCTCTGGCTCAGGGAGAGTGCACTAGTCACTGGAGGAAGAGGTAGGTCTGTGCGCACCTCTCTGGGCTTGCTGGGAGAGGTAGTCTCATAAACACTACCAGCCCTTTCATCACATCGCTGTAGGACTACAATTCCAGCATGCACGGGGCGCCGGGGCAGTCCGCGTCACTGGAGGAAGAGAAAGGCGTGTGAGCGCCTTGCTGGGCTTTCTGGGAGATGTTGTCTCTTTATTTCTCCCAGCCCTTTGGTCACAGGGCTTCAGGACTACAATCCCAGCATGCATCCTGCTCAGGGACAACGCGCGTCACTGTAGGAAGAGGTGGACCTGTGCTGTTCTCGCTATGCTTTTTGGGATACGTATTCTCGTAAACACTCCCAGCCCTTTGGTCACTGGGCTGCATCACTACAATCCCAGCATACATCGGGATCAGGGAGAGTGCGCTAATCAGTGGAGAAAGGGGCGAGGCTCTGCACACCTCGCTGGTCTTGCTGGGAGATGCAGTCTCATAAACACTCCCAGCCCTTTGGTCACTGGGCTGCAGCGCTACAATCCTAGCATGGACCGGGCGCAGGGAATGTGCGCGTCACTGGAGGAAGAGGCAGGGTTGTGCACGCCTCTCTGGGCTTGGTGGGAGTTGCAGTCTCATAAACACTCCCAGACCTCTCATCACCGGGCTGCAGGACTACAATCCCAGCATGCACCCGGCTCAGGGAGAGTGCGCATTACTGGAGGAAAAGGTCTAGGCTGTGGATGCCTCCTTCTGCTTGCTGGGAGATGTAGTTTCATAAAGACTCCCAGAACTTGTGTCACAGGGCTGCAGGACTACCATCCCATTATGCAATGGGGTCAGGGACACGGCCCGTCAGTGGAGAAAGAGGCGGGGCTGTGTGCGTCTCCTTCGGCTTGCTGGGAGATGTATTCTTATAAACACTCCCAGCCCTTTGGTCAAAGGGCTACAGGACTACAATCCCAGCATGTGCCAGTCTCGGGGGCGAGGTACAGGCCTGGAAGAAGGGGCAGAGTGGTACACGCCCCACCTAATATGCTGGGAGCTGTAGTCTGTTAACTGCTCTCAGCCTGTTTGTCGGTAGGCTTCAGAACTATAATCACAGCATGTACCGGGACCCGGGGTGCATAGCCCTGGAGGGAGGGGCAGAGCGGTGTGGACTTCCCGGTGTCCAAAGCACTGCTGAGTTCTTATGCTATGCCGACTCTTTGCCAAGGAGAATGAGTACATAGGTGGACCTAGAGGACAGGTCTGCGCTGAGCATTGAGGAGGGTATTACCCTACATAGGCACCTTACCTTTGCCCAAATCGGGCGGGTTGTCCTCAACTGATTGGCCCTATCCTTCTCAAGTTCCTCTTTCAGCTGCACCCAGGGTTCTTTCCAGAGCATTGCGCCTTCTGCAGCCCAGGGCGCTACCTTCTTTCCTAAACTGCTGTGGAAACTGTCCTGATGTCTGAGACACTGTCCATTGTGCCGCAGCCCTCTTTTTTCTCTAGCCAAGCCTCATGCTCAACAGCTTTTGAGAGAAATCTTCCACGTGGCCTGCTTATGAACAGCTTCAGAATTCTGTAGGGGTTGACAAGGTCTGTGGCTTCCTGGAAATGTCACTCTCAATGGCGCCTTTTTCACGAATGTGAAAGTTGAGGCATCAGGAAGGTTAATTATTGGGTTGCACAAAATCTGCTAAGAGCAAAGGAGAAA
Source organism: Homo sapiens (assembly GCF_000001405.40). NCBI lineage: Eukaryota > Metazoa > Chordata > Mammalia > Primates > Hominidae > Homo > Homo sapiens. Next base: position 296,233 of record NW_021160023.1, read on the forward strand.
ACCCCATTTCCGAGGCATGAGTCTTGTGAGCCATTTTCATCAACCCATTTAAGTGGACAAGCTCCAAAATGAAACCTGAAGCTGCTGACTATTTAGGCATTTTACACTTGAAATCATCGGTCTCATCTCAAGTCACTCCTGACTTGCCAGTGTCTCAGAAACACAAATGGGACCGGATCCCTCAGGAGCAGATAGTGTTCCAGCTTTGTTGGAGCGACATTTAAGATGTGGAGCACTTGGGGTCGTTTGAAACCCGCTATCTTCAGTAGGGACTTTTACTTCTAGAGAACATGTGCATTTTGATTTTATCTGTCCTCAAACTGAACTTTTGCTCATTTTAATAGTAAAAACACATTCCTAGGTGGAGACTTAAGATGCTAATGAGACATGCAATGTATGCACAAATATGTACAGTTAGTGCACATGTGCACCCAGAAGACCACTCAAAACATGCTTACACTAACACTTCTTTCCACCTTCTTATGAATAATCGTGCAAAACCCCCAGAAGGAGGGTTTCTCCAGTAACAATTAATGGTGTCTTACTCTTATGAGCAGCCTGCCCTGGAATCTCTTTCTCAGAATGTACCGTCTATTCTGCACTTAATTTTCAAAGTAGTCTTTTCTTTTTTTGTGTGCAATAAATTACTCTATGCTGTACTTCTTTTGCTGTGTGTTTCTTGTTTAAATTCTTTTAAACTAAGAAAATAAGAATCAAGGTATTACATCAGCCATCAACATTTCTTTTGCCATGGCCTGGAGAGAGGTCTGTCCGCTTCACTGATTTCACTTTCCCTTTACTTGCCGTGAATACTGTGGCACTTCCAGACTACCTGGTTAACTATCGCTGGTTCTTCCAGCACTGTTTCACTAAAGTTCTGGGGAAACCCTGTCCCTTTAGGCTTTATGCATTTCCCAGCTCCTTGAAATTGTTCTTCAACAGGCTTTCTTTGCTGAACAAAAGATGTACAGTCATGGATATGCCCAGTCATAGGGATTGAATCTGAGCATTGCAGGTGTTATAATTGGGCATCATAAATGGCAAACCACTGAATTAGGGAAAGGCTTGTCAGCCAGACATCTGCTCCCCAGCGAGCAGTGGGGGTCATCTCGGCAGGGCTGGAGATGTCCAGCGCTGGTGAGAGCTAGGACGGTGCATGGCAAATGCCTATGACCTCCTAGAGCTTCAGTTAATGGGGTTTCAAGGGGATGAGTTGGACAACTTGGTGGTTCCACTTGGCTCATGGGGCTGCCCACAGCCTCCTGGACTTTAGTACATGTTCTGTCGTTTGCAGGATTCTCTCGGCACCATGGGAATCACTTCCTCTACTGTCACTGAAACACACCTGGGATGTATATTTAAAAATTGAAACAGCTTTTGGCTAAATGAAGCAAAAAAACAATTATCTTCTTTTGTAAAACTATTTAGCCTGCATACAGATTAGCTGACAAAACATGGCTGGAGAATGAGACTGTGAAATTTAACACCATCATACAGCTAGATCTTTTCTGTAGTAATCAGGGAAAATGGTCTGAAGTATCCTATGTGCAAGACTTTCTGGCCCGACAACAAAACCCAGCTCTATGCAGCACCTGTGGGCTAAAGCCTAGTAAGCCACAAAGCCCCTCAGAACCATTAGAAGATCATTTGTTTTATGGGCAAGGGACCCCAGACCCCACAGCCTAATACCAGCTCCAGATAGGGGCCCTCAGAGGCCTACACCTGCTTTAGAATCCCCAGCGTCCCCACACTATCAGAGTCTTCTGCAGAATCTAAGCTTGTTTAACCTCCTCCTTATGCTCCTCTATCAGCCTTGCCAGTTACAATAGAGACCAGTCCAGCTGCAGTTACTCACAGTGGAGCTTCACACCATGCAGGGCCAGAGAATTTGATCCGCTTACAGAAAGTCTCAAATGGAGAGAGGACCATCAGAGTGCTTGTTCTCTTCCCAGTAAATGATCTAATCCAATGTAAGCAACAGCTCTGATGGCTCTCAGACAACTTCAGCGCGTTTACTGAAGCCTTCCAGTCTCTAACTTTGACCACCATTCAACTTCACCATCCATAAATGGACCCAATGACTGCTGCCAACTCAGCTGCACAAAACTTTTTCTTATTTGCGAAAAATAGAAAAGACTTAAAACTTTTGCTGCTTTCACCATTTTAAAGCAGAATACTTTTGCAGCACAAATGTCACCATAAGGTGGATCCTTGGGAATCCAGTATAAACTATCTCAGAAAATCTCAGTAAATGTGTCCCCAACAGGCAGCAGAGGGCCTCAATAGACTTCAACAACGTCTGGACTCCATGGCCACTGTATTCCAACAAAACCAAAGAGCCTGGGATCTTCTCCCAGCCAAGCAAAGAGGAACATGTTTATATCTAAAAGAAGAATGCTGTTTTTTGAGATCAATCAGTCTGGTTTAGTCCAAGAAAATATTAATAATATCATCACCCAGGCAGACAAAATTGAATCTCTAGGAACTTCCATGGGAACATGAAAGCAATGTCCATTGCCTGCCTTGCTCTCTTTAATAGTACCCGTCATTATTATATTTTCAACTTCTACTTTTGTTCCAATTTTGTTTAAAATGTTAACTGATTTCCTGCTATGTTCTTGTGGCAGCTCCATGTTTGCATGATGGTTTGCAAGGCTTTCAATCTTTGGCTGCCAACATCTTCCCACTGGTTCCACGAACGACATGGTTTACACCCTGTTAGATCACACAGGAAGAAACTTTAAGGCCCAGGCTAGGCAGAAGTAACACCCACTCAGCAGGAAACAGCTCCAGAAAAAGTGGTCTAACCCCTCAACCTCCAATATGGTTATTGCCCTAAAATCTCTTAGGGGGAAATTGAGGCAGAATAGATAGTACAGAAAATGACCATGATCTCAGGATACAGAAACCATGGTGACTGTACAGCCGACACAATAAGCCGTAGCATTCGCATTGTAATTGGGCTTATTCGAGCAAAGCTATCCTCATTAAGGACTTTCTGTTCTAGAGAGCATGTGTATTTTGATTTTACCTGCCCTCAAACTTAAATTTTGCTTATTTTAATAGCAAACAATGCACCCCCTAGCCAGGCACGGTGGCTTATACCTCTACTCTCAGCACTTTGGGAGGCTGAGGAAGATGGATCACTTCAAACTAGAAGCTCGAGACTAAACTGGCCAACATAGAGAAACCCCGTCTAAATTAAAAATACAAAAATTAGCAGGGTATGATGGTGCATGCCTGTAATCCCAGATACTCAGGAGGCAGAGGCACGAGCATGGCTTGAACTCAGGAGGCAGAGGTTGCAGTGAGCAGAGATCACACCACTGCACCCCAGCTTGGGCAACACGGCGAGACTCTGTCTCAAACAAACAAACAAACAAACACACAGAAATACACTCCTGGGTGGAAATATAAGATGCTAACGAGACATGCAACATATGAACAAGCATGTACAGCTACTGCGCATATGCACCCAGAATACCACAGAGAACATGTTTACTAGCAACTCCTCTTCCCTCCTCCTTATTAATAATAATGTAAAACTGCCATAAAGGGGTTTCTCCAGCGACAGTCCACGCTGTCTCACTCTTATGAGCAGTCCGCCCTGGAGTATCTCTCTCAGGGTGTACTGTATTCTGCACTTAACTTTCAAATATTTTCTTTTCCAATAAATTATGCTGTACTTTTTTTCTTTGTGTCTCTTGTTTAAATTCTTAAAATCTAGGAAGACAAGAACAGAGGTATCACATCAGTTGTCAACACAGC